>NC_000009.12:35010000-35161515 GCF_000001405.40 Homo sapiens
AATAATGGCTCACTCAATAGAACTTATCAATAAGGAGGTAGAAATTATTTTTTAATAACCAAATAGAAACCCTGGGGTTGAAAAGTATAATAACTGAAATGAAAAATTTGATAGGAGCTCAAGAGCAGAGTTGAGAAGGCAGAATGAAAATCAGTGAACTTGAAGGTTCACTGATTATCCAATTTGAGAAACTGAGATTATCCAATTTGAGAAACAGAAAGAAAAAAGAATGATGAAAAATGAACAAAACCTATAAAACCTGTAGAACACCCTCAAGTATAAGAACATAAAAATAAATAACAATAGCCTGAGAAAGAGAAGAGAAAGGCATAAATATTTGAAGAAATAATGTTTGAAAACTTCCCAAATTAGATTAATCTACACATCCAAAAAGCTCAATGAGCTCCAAGCAGGATAAACAACAAGAGATCCACACCTAAACACAACATAATCAAACTGTCAAAGACAAAGAGAAAAATATCATCTTGAAAGAGGCAAGAGAAAAATGACTTTTCACATACAAGGGATCCTCAATAAGATTAACAGCTGATTTGTCATCAGGAGCCATCGAGAAGGCAGGGGATGGGCATACTAAGAGTACAAGAGAAAAAAGTCTATGCCCAGCAAAACTGTGTATCAAAATGGGGAGTTGGGGGGTACAGTATGGAGAAAAGCACTGCCATAGGACAGCTGAGACTATGGCTGAGAAGGTGTCAGTGGACAGCATGGAGAAGGAGGCTTTTGCAGCAGCTGAGGAGCTGGCCACTCAGAAGCATGAACCAAGACTGCACAAATTCTGGGAGCTGCACCTGAAAGAGACTGAAGCTTGGAAATTAAATCGCCAAGAAGTTGTGGAGGACGATAAAAGACTTAAAACTACCTGCAAACTGGGAAGTTAATAAGGCTCATTTCAAATGGGAATTGCAGGAAGAAGGAGAAAAAAAAAAGAATGTTCACAAAAAGACTATGAGAAAAGATACAGAAAGATGGGAGAGGAAAAGGAAAAACTCCAATCTGGGATTTTTACATTATGCCACTTCCCAGTTACACCAGTATCATTTGTTGACCAAGCAGATCAAACCTGACATAGAAATATATTAAAAACTAAGAGAAAAATATGGAGAGGAGTTCTATACAACATCTAACAGCCTTCTTCATGGAACATATTTGCCTTCCACAGAGAAAACTGATAGGACAGAAAAGCAAATTGAAAACTGAGATGAATATAGCTGGAGACACCCTTAGGATGATGATGCAGATATCAACTACTAAACATTTAAAGAATTAACAACAATCCTTCTTAAACTCTTCCAAAAAAATGAAGCAGAGAAAAACTTTCTAACTAATTCTATGAGGTTAGCATTACCCTGATACCAAAGGCAGATAAAGACATCATTAGAAAAGAAAATTACAGACCAATATCCTTTATAAATATAGATGATAAAATCCTCAATAAAATATTAGCAGGTTGAACTCAACAGCAAATTAAAATGATCATTCACCATAACCAAGTGGAATTTATTCCAAGAATGCAGGGGTGATTACACATAAGAAAATCAATCCATGTAACACATCATATTAACAGAATGAAGGGGAAAAACCAAATGATCATTTCAGTTGACACAGAAAAAGTATTTAACAAAATCTAACCTTTTAATGATAAAAATTAAGAAAACTAGGAATAAAGAGACCATTTCCCAACACGATATAAAGCATTTATGAGAAAGCCACAGCTAGCAGGATATCAATGATGAAATACTGAAAGTTTTCCCCCTAAGATCAGGAACAAGAAAAGGATGCCCTGCTATTCAATATTGTAATGGAAGTTCTAACCAGAGCTATTCAACAAGAACAAGTAATGGAAGGCATCAGCTGAGAATGGTGGCTTATGCCTGTCATCCCAGCACTTTGAGAGGCCAAGGTGGGAGGATTACTTGAAGCCAGGAGTTCAAAACCAGCCAGGGCAAACTTTTCCTGAGGGAAAGTTTGGAACTTCTTAGAGATTGATTAAGTGGTTGTGATCAAAATGTTCATACAAATATAGACAGTAAAGGCCAAGCTGACATCTCAGATACAAATTAAGAATTTATTAGGAACTGGACCAAACCTTGTTAGTATAAACAAAGAACTGGCTGCATTGTCTCCATGCTCTAGGACTCTGTAGAAGGTCAAACTTAAGAGTAAAGACCTAGGACATCTGGTGGAAGAAATTTCTAAGCAGCAAAGCCTTCAAGAAGTGGCGTGGCTGCTTTTACCTGCTTACAATCAGTTCCAGCAGGAAAAGAATCACCTATGAACCCAAAATATCTGAGACAGGTCTCAAACAATTTAGAAAGTTTAATTTGCCAAGGTTAAGGACACGCCCATGACACAGCCTCAAGAGGTCCTGATGACATGTGCCCAAGGTGGTTGGGATACAGCTTGGTTTTATACATTTTAGGGGGACATGAGACATAATATGTGTAAGATGTGCATTGGCTCAGTCAGGAAAGGTGGGACAACTCAAAAGTGGGATGGGGGTGAGGGTGGGCTTCCAGGTTATAGGTAGATAAAAGACAAAAGGTTGCATTCTTTTGAGTCCTTGATCAGCCTTTCACTGAATACACAATTTAGTCTGAGCCAGGCATGGTAGCTCACACCTGTAATCCCAGCACTTTGGGAGGCTGAGGCGGGTGGATCACTCGAGGTCTCTCAGGACCTCTCACTCTCAGGAGTTTGAGACCAGCCTTGGCCAACATAGAGAAACCCCTATACTAAAAATACAAAAATTAGCCGGGCATGAGGGCATGTGCCTATAGTCCCAGTTATATGGGAGGCTGAGGCAGGAGAATAACTTGAACCTGGAAGGCAAGGGTTGCAGTGAGCTGAGATTGCACCACTGCACTCCAGCCTGGGTGACAGGGTGAGACTCTGACTCAAAAAAAAAAAAAAAAAAAAGAAAAAGAAAAAAAAAGTTTAGTCTGTCTCAGTGTATCTGCATTTTTACATAAACAATAGGGCACAGGAAGCAATCGGATATGCAATTGTCTCAGGTGAGCAGAGGGATGACTTCCTGTCCCACATCTGTGAAAATAAGCTATCAGTTTACATTGCCAGGGTGAAATTCAACAGAACTGTTTCAGGGTAAAGATCTTGAGGCCCACAAGAAATTTCCTTGTGGGCAAATTGTGAGGGAGATTTTTTTTTTATCTTTGTAGCTGTCTTATTTAGGAATAAAATGGGAGGTAGGTTCGCCTGACATAGTTTCCAGCTTGACTTTTCCCTTGGCTTAGTGATTTTGGAATCCGAGATTTATTTTCCTTTCACATTTTTTCTGTTTCTTTTTAAAATCTTTCAGAAAGAGCATTTTAGAAGAAAATGAGTCTCCAGTCTCAGGTTTTTCTGATCACTTATAGCTAGGATGATCTATTCTAGACAGGTAGGTCTCACATTATTAGAAAAGCTCATTTTTAGCAGGTTGTAAAGTATCATGTTCTACAAACAGAAAATAGGGACAGAAAGAAAGAAAACAACAAACAAATGAAAAGATAGAGCCATTTTTCTCTGAAGTTCATACATCAGTAGGCTGGCATATAGGTTGCTGTTATTTTCTTCTGAAGTTTAAGTTGTGTAGCTTCAGTTCACAGGGTTTTAAGAAAGCACAGCATAACTTTTAGTGATTTCAAATCACAAAAAATGGAAAAAAAGGAAGGAAAGAAGAAAAAAATTGAAAATATTATTTTGAATACCTGTACCCCCCCAAAATTTTTAAATTCAGTCCAAACTAGAAAATAATAAAAATTGAAAAATATTAGGCAAGACTAGAATCTAATAACAGGTACACTATAGTTCACTTTGAAAAATAATTTTTCTCTCTCCAGTCCCCATTTTCACTAAATACAAATCATAGGACAAATTTATGCATAAAATAAGTGTTAGTCTTATTATACTTGGCCTGTGTATTTGCATGAAGTCAGCAAGAATAATTATGTGCTGGCTGGGCGCAGTGGCTCACACCTGTAATCCCAGCACTTTGGGAGGCCGAAACAGGTGGCTCACTTGAGGCCAGAAGTTCAAGACCAGCCTGGGCAACAGGGAGAAAACCCATCTCCACTAAAAATACAAAAACTAGCCAGGCATGGTGGCACATGCCTGTAGTCCAGATATTCAGGAGGCTGAGGCATGAGAATCACTTGAATCTCAGAGGCAGAAGTTGCAGTGAGCCCAGATCGTGCCACTGTACTCCAGCCTGGGCAACAGAGCAAGATTCTGTCTCAAAAAAGAAAAAATTATTTGCCATATAGGCTCTTTAAAAAAAAAAAAACTGGCTTTGCTGGAACTTTATTCCATAAGAAATTTCAGATTGGACTTGAGCCTAGCCTGTACCTGCAGATACCTGTATTAATTGGGTGAATTCCCAAGATAATTTGAGTCTCCTGGGCCTATCAGAAAGTGACTTTTTTTTTTTTTTTGAGACAAAGTCTCACTCTGTCACCCAGGCTGGAGTGCAATGGTGCAATATCGGCTCACTGCAACCTCTGCCACCTAGGTTCAAGTGATTCTCGTGCCTCAGCCTCCCAAATAGCTGGAATTACATGCACATGCCACCATGCCCAACTCATTTTTTTATTTTTAGTAGAGATGGGGTTTTGCTCTGTTGGCCTGTTGGCCAACTGGTCTCAAACTTCTGACCTTAAGTGATCCACCCACCTTGGCCTCCCAAAGTGCTGGGATTACAGGTATGAGGCACCACAGCTGGCCCAGAAAGTGACATGCTTTACTTACCACACGTCAGGAAACTGTACAGGAACTGTGTGGAAAGGCATGAGGCCAGCTTTCCCAAGGGGCTTTTATGACTCTGTAAGTCAACTTTGATTCCTTAAAGCAGTTGATTTATATCTGAAAGTAAGCCATTCCAATCAAAGCCTTGGTAAAATAACCAGTGTCTTCAATTGTATCCTGTTACAAAAGAAAACAGATTCTTATTGAACTTATGCAAATAACTAGACTGCTATAAATTAAGTATACTTGCTAATAGTTTTCAAATTCTGGAGAATTCAGGTAGAGGAATATGCTTCAGATTTTGCTCACGGGAATTTAGTTTACCCAATTGTTAAAAGCTGTAAATAGCTCAAAGAAAAAGGGTTTTCTGGACTCAGAAACAAAAGAATTACCAATGTTTCAAACAAAGTCATAAAAAGATTATTTCAGTTTTCCATTAGTTTAGTCCATGTAATTAACTCCGGTTCTGCTCAATGTTTATGAACACATTAACTGTCTACAGGAGTCTTAGATGTTTCTCCTCTATTCTAGTGTCACAATCTCCCAAGTTATCAGAAACCTGCATTCAAAAGCACCTGTCAGAGTCATATAGCTATTTATAAAATCACCTTTTGAAAAGGATAAAAGTAGGCTGGGCACAGTGGCTCATGTCTGTAATCCCAGCACTTTGGAAAGCTGAGGTGGGTGGATCACTTGAGGTCAGGAGTTTGAGATTAGCCTGGCCAACATGGCAAAACCCTATCTTTACTAAAAATACAAAAATTAGCTGGGCATGGTGGCATGCACCTGTAATCCCAGCTACTTGGGAGGCTGAGGTGGAAGAATCACTTGAATTCGGGAGGCAGAGATTGCATTGAGCCAAGATTGCACCACTGCACTCCAGCCTGGGTGACAGAGTATGACTCTTTCTCAGAAAAAAAAAAGGATAAAAGTAAAACAACTGTGGATGACAAAACTCTTAGAACAGTCATAGTTAGACAGGACTGACAAGGAAATTTAGTTACTTCTGTGGCATACAACAATTTTACATGATAAGCATAATTACTACTGACAACATATACTAAGACTCATCCGAGGCCAGGCATGGTGGCTCATGCGTGTAATCCCAGCACTTTGGGAGGCCGAGGTGGGTGGATCACGAGGTCAGGAGTTCGAGACCAGCCTGACCAACATGGTGAAACCCCATCTCTACTAAAAACACAAAAATTAGCCAGGCGTGGTGGCACGTGCCTGTAATCCCAGCTACTTGGGAGGCTGGGGCAGAAGAATCGCTTGAATCCAGGAGGCCGAGGTTGCAGTGAGCTGAGATCGTGCCACTGCACTCCAGCCTGGGCAACAGGACGAGACTCCATCTTAAAAAAAAAAAAAAAAGACTAGTCCCAATCACAGGAATCTGAAAAATGGTAAATACCATTTCATATTTGATAAAACTTCCTATATGATTTTATATCAAGCCAAATATGTCTTTTTTGCACTTCAGGAGACCTAATATCAAAAAAAATTAAGGGAAGCAAAGTCAGAATTTGATTTTGGAAAGTTTGTCAAATATAACACTTGATATCACAAAATAGGATCATGGTAAAATATTATAAAATAATTCTTTTTTTAGCCAAAATGATAACTCAAAGATTTCAAAAAGGAAAAATCTTTTATTCTTTGAGAAAAGAGACTTACTTTCCTAAACAATAAGCCCTAATAAAGACAGCATAAGAACAACTAAATCTCTCAAAATTTTATAAACAGGCTGGGCATGGTGGCTCATGCCTGTAATCCCAGCACTTTGGGACGCCAAGGCAGGTGGATCACTTGAGGTCAGGAGTTCGAGACCAGCCTGGCCAACATGGTGAAACCCTGTCTCCACTAAAAATACAAAAATTACCCAGGTGTGGTGGCATGTGCCTGTAGTCCCAGCTACTTGGGAGGCTGAGGCAGGAGAATTGCTTGAACCCAGGAGGCAGAGGTTGCAGTGAGTTGAGATTGTGCCACCGCACTCCAACCTGGGCAACAGAGCAAGACTCTGTCTCAAAAAAAAAATTATAAGCAAAATCTACTAAATTTTAGTCATTTGACCGTAAGATATAATTTCCATAAACCTTTCTATAACCTGTATAACCTTTTTTTAAGGAGTGTGCTAATGCTCTAAGAAAATGCTCAAAAACCAGCCATATGCTGGTTTTGCATCAGTGTGCCTTTGACATTAATGGTTAGGTTTATAGAGAACCAAACTAATTTAATCTCTCAACATCAGCCCTTACAATCTCATGCACCCAGCTCTTCCACAATAGTCCCTGAGCCTTGGGAAGTCGAATACGTTTAATTTCTGGCCCTGTGTCTCATGAAAGCAGTTTATTTTGATTGGCATCTTCTACCAGGTCTGAAGATGAGGCTTTAACTGCTGTCAGTATTTAAGATTGAGCAGGACTTAGTGTCCTTTTTAGACTCAAGAGTCAAACCCTGTAATTGAATGGCACAAAAACTTGAAAAGCACATACAGAAAGTTACACGGATGCAATAACTTTAATTTAGAATGTTTTTTCAGTTTTTTCTAAGCAAACCAAAACTTAATAGTAATGATATAGGAATTATTTCAATAAAACATAAAATCTGTTTGTTAGGCCAGTTACCAAAAGGCAAAAGCAAAGACCTTCTGCAGTGTAATTTCTGTTCCCTATGGGGAATCCATTTAGATAATCTGCAAGTCAAAACTAATGAAAATAGTACTTGAATTAGACATAGGAAGAATGTTTCCTGGGTCACAAGTAAAAATTTTCAGATTCATAGAACAATTTAAAGCCAAGAGCACAGGACACTATGTTAGAAGAAAACATTTCCTTTAGACCTTTAAGATAAAACATTTTTAGCATCAGGCCACAACAAATAATTAGAACCTGAGGGGAGAAAAACTTACAGGAGCTGAAAATGAGTTGAAGGAGAGTTATTATTTCAGGCCTTTTAAAAGGGGAGAGAAAGCTGAAAACAGCAAAATGCAATAAAAGTTGAACTTTGGGCTAAAAAAAAAATTAAAATCTCTTGTAATTTTATTAAGAGTAAATCAATACCTTAAGAAAATTTTGCTGTTCTAACCAATTCTTTAGTGTTTGTTTTTTTTAGATCAAAACCCAATCTCTAGAAAAAGTATTATAAATAGTTTCCCTTTAATTACAGACAACTTGATACAAATCATTTACAACATGCTTGGACTTCCTGTTTTATCCTAAACATCCCTCTTTCTTAAATAACCAGTCATTTTATTTCAGGACAAAATTTTACCACACGAGATTCTTTCTTACATAAAATTATTTTCCTTTTAACCTTTCTTGCCAAAAACAACTCTTTATATTTGTAACTTTCTTTACATTGCTCATATTTACTGACTACCTTTATCTTGTTTCATAAATAACTTTTAAATAACCTTGGAATTAGACAAAAATTATTTTCCTTTAAATAAGAACACATTTCTTTTTTTAGAAAAATGTTTTCCTATAACTTTTTAAAAGGAAATGACCCAGACATTTAATGAATATCTATTATTTAACTTCATATAACTTTAGATTTTAAATTATATGATAAGATCATTTATAAGCATTTATTCCATTACATTTACCTAATTAATTTTTAAAAATAGTTTACCCAGATTACTTATGAAAACTGTGATAGCTATCATTTAAAGTTATTTCCCTGATGGCCAGCCCAGTGGCTCATGCCTGTAATCCCAGCACTTTGGGAGGCTGAGGCAAGAGGATCGCTTGAGGCCAGGAGTTTGAGACCAGCCTGGCCAACATGGCAAAACACCACCTCTACTAAAAACACAAAAATGAGCTAGGCCATAGTGGTGCATGCCTGTAATCCCAGCTACTTGGGAGGCTGAGGCACAAGAATCACTTGAACCTGGGAGGCAGAGGTTGCAGGTTGCAGTGAGCCGTGATCATGCCACTACACTCCAGCAGGGGTGCCAGAGCAAGACTTTATCACAAACAAAGAAACAAACAAAAAGCAACAAAAATAAACTTATTTTCTTGTTAACTATTTGTTTTTGTTTTTGATTTCCTTCGACTTTTAAGTTCTGAGGCACATGTGCAGGATGTGCAGGTTTATTATATATGTAAACGTGTGCCATGGTGGTTTGCTTCACAGATCAACCCATCGCCTTGGTATTAAGTCCAGCATCCATTAGCTATTCTTCCTGATGCTCTCCCTCCCACTGAGAAGCCCCAGTGTGTGTTGTTCCTCTCATGTGTCCATGTGTTTTCATTGTTCAGCTCCCACTTATAAGTGAGAACACGCAGTGTTTGGTTTTCTGTTCCTGCGTTAGTTTGCTGAGGATAACAGCTTCCAGCTCCACCCATGTCCCTGCAAAGGACATGATCTCATTCCTTCTTATGGCTGCATAGTATTCCATGGTGTGTATGTACCATGTTTTCTTTATCCAGTCTATCATTTATGGGCATTTGTGTTGATTCCATGTCTTTGGTATTGCAAGTAGTGCTGCAATGAACATACACATGCACGTTTTCTTTATAACAGAATGATTTATATTCCTTTGGGTATTTACCCAGTAATGGGATTGCTGGGTCAAATGGTATTCCTGCCTCTAGATCTTTGAGGAATTGCCACACTGTCTTCCACAATTTACACTCCCACCAACAGTGTAAAAGTGTTCCTTTTTCTCTGCAACCTTGACAGCATCTGTTGTTTCTGGACTTTTTAGTAATCGCCATTCTGACTGGCATGAGATGGTATATCACTGTGGGTTTTCTGGGGGTTTTGTTTGTTTTGAGGCAGAGTCTCGCTTTGTTGCCCAGGCTGGAGTGCAGTGACACGATCTTGACTCACAGAAACCTACACCTACTGGGTTCAAGCAATTCTCCTGCCTCAGCCTCCTGAGTAGCTGGGATTTCAGGCATGTGCTACCATGCCCAGCTAATTTTTGTATTTTTGGTAGAGACAAGGTTTCACCATGTTGGCCAGGCTGGTCCCGAATTTCTGACCTCCAGTGATCCATCCACATTGGCCCCCAAGGTACTGGGATTACAGGCACGAGACACTGCTCCTGGCCTCATTGTGGTTTTGATTTGCATTTCTCTAATGATCAGTGATGTTGACCTTTTTTTCATACGGTTAACCATTTTTATAATCTGTAAATTTCAGATTTTCCTAGGTAAGAAACTTAAGATTAGATAAATGGTGTTTTGTTTACCAAAAATTCAGGATTTAGCTGTTTTCATTAACTAAACAATATTAAATGCCTTATATATCAAATTTTACATAAACAATTCTCTTTTGGGCTACATTCATAGCTTTACAACCTTCATGCCAAATGTTGACATCTAGCAGAGATCAATTCTGAAGCCATTTCTAATTCTACTTCACCAGTATTTTTAAAACCAGCTTATTTATTAAAGATTTACTTAAGTTGAGGCTGGGTGTGGTGGCTCACGCCTGTAATCCCAGCACTTTGGGAGGCCGAGGCAGGCGGATCATGAGGTCAGGAGATCGAGACCATCATGGCTAACACAGTGAAACCCCATCTCTACTAAAAATACAAAAAATTAGCCTGGTGTGGTGGCAGGCATCTGTAGTCCCAGCTACTCGGGAGGCTGAGGCAGAAGAATGGCATAAGTAAACCCGGGAGGCGGAGCTTGCAGTGAGCCGAGATGGTGCCACTGCACTCCAGCCTGGGGGACAGAGTGAGACTCCGTCTCAAAAAAAAAAAAAAAATGATTTACTTAAGTCACTTGAAGTTGAAAAAGCACTTGGTTTAAAGTCTCAATTTTCTAATAAAGTATTTGATTAAGTGCTTTTTTCTTTAAGCCAATTAATTAAAGCTCTTTTATATATTTTTAGTAATGAAACATCATATACATGACACATAAATATGTAGATGTATTAGACACGCAGGTAGAAGTAGATCTTATAGATTCATAAAACCTCTTTTTCCCTATTTTAGACTTCCAAATTCCTTTCTTTTCTTTTTTTTTTTTTTTGGCAGCAAAGAAAGAATTTAATAATCACAGGGCTAGCCAAGTGGTAATGAAATGGGAGGACTGGGAGGGGGCCTGAACAATCCCTGAGGAGGAGTAGAATAGCAGACGGAACACTGAGAAGTGATTTCCTTGAGGATAGATTTTCATGATGGAAAGGAAATGAGAGGTTCTAAGAGGTGGGCTAGCGGCTTGTAACCTACATGGAAGAGGCTATGAAATGATGACAGAATAGAATGGGCCTGTGAGGCTGGAAGGAGATATTTTCCTTGGTCTAAGAACCATTTGCCTTGTGTGGGAAGAGATTGATAGGTGGAAGTTTCAGTGGGGGAGTAGGTGGGAGTGACCGATGAGAAGGAGAAAAACTGGCCATGAGGGACAGAAGTTGGAATGCTAGCTGCTTTTTTAGCTACCTTATCAGCATAAGTGTTGCCCTGAGCGATGGGATCTGACGCCTTTTGATGGCCCTTGCAGTGAATGAATCCAGCTTCCTTTGGAAGTAAAGTGGCCTTGAGAAGAGTTTTTATTAAAGAGGCATTAATGATGGAGGACCCTTGCGTAGTGAGGAAACCTCTTTCAGCCCATATAACAGTATGGTGGTGCAGGATATGGAAGGCATATTTAGAGTCAGTATAAATATTGACACGTAGTCCCTTTGCAAGGGTGAGGGCTTGAGTTAAGGCAATGAGTTTGACTTGCTGAGAGGTAGTGGAGAGGGGCAGAAAGTATATGCATCAGGTATGAGGAAGAAAATAGATTTTGGAAGTTATGAGAACTGTAGAGAGTGAGTTGAGCATAGTTTGTGATTTTGAGGGCCTCTAAAAGTATTAAGGCAGTGGCAGCTGCCGCACACAGACATGAGGGCTAGGCTAAAACAGTAAGGTCAAGTTGTTTGGATAAAAAGGCCACAGGGCACGGTCCCAGTCCTTGTGTAAGAATTTTGACTGCACAGCCCTGCACTTCAGCTATGTGTAATGAAAAAGGCTGGGATGAGTTAGGGAGAGCTAGTGTGGGAGCAGCTTTTAGGGCTGTTTTTTAAGAAATGGAAAGGGGAGTGGGGAAAGAATTTAGGATTTATGGGGTCAGCTAGGTTTATCTAGAACAGAATGGGTTGTGGAGGGAGGTACTGAGGATAGGAGAGTCTATGGGTTTGGCACCACGGGGTAGATAGGCAAGACAATTTGGTTGATAAGGCGCAGATCCTGAACTAACCTGTAAGACTTGTCCAGTTTTTGGACAGGTAAAATGGGGAAATTGTAAGGAGTGTTTATAGGCTTTAAAAGGCCATGCTGTAACAGGCGAGTGATAACAGGCTTTAATGCTTTGAAAGCCTGCTGTGGGATGGGATACTGGTGTTGAGCAGGGTAAGGGTGATCAGGTTTTAATGGGATGGTAAGGGGTACGTCATCCATCGCCAAGGAGGGAGTAGAGGTGTCCTATACTTGTGGATTAAGGTGGGGAGATACAAAGAGAGGATGTGAAGGAGGCTTTGAACTGGGGGGAAAGGCAGCAATGAGGTGTGGCTGTAGCCCAGGAATAGTCAGGGGAGTAGATAATTTAGTTAAAATGTCTCGACCTAATAAGGGAGCTGGGCAGGTGGGGATAACTAAAAAGGAGTGCATTAAAGAATGTTGTCCAAGTTGGCACCAGAGTTGGGGAGTTTTAAGAGGTTTAGCAGCCTGGCCATCAATACCCACAACGGTTATGGAGGCAAGGGAAACAGGCCCTTGAAAAGAAGGTAATGTGAAGTGGGTAGCCTTCGTATTGATTAAGAAGGGGACGGACTTACCCTCCACTGTAAGAGTTACCCAAAGCGTCTGTGATGGTCCAGGAGGCTTCCGAGGTGATCAGGCAACGTCAGTCTTCAGCCACTGAGCCGAGAAGATCTGGGAAGGAGTCAGTCAGAGCCTTGGGCCAGTTAGACAGTCCAGTTTCCAGTGGGGTCCCACACAGATGGGACACGGCTTAGGAGGAGTCCCAGTTCTGTGGGCATCCCTTGGCCTAGTGGCCAGATTTCCAGCACTTGAAGCAAGATCCTGGGGGAGGAAGTCCTGAAGGAATGCCTGACTGCTGTGGCTTAGGCGTTTTGAAGTTTTTGTGTGCTGGAGATATGGCTGGGGTTTCTCACACAGCAGAGGCAAGTAATTGCAACTCTTTATTATTGTACACCTTGAAGGCGCGGTTAATTAGGTCCTGTTGTGGGGTTTGAGGACTGGAAGCTCATTTTTGGAGCTTTTTCTAATGTCGGGAGCGGACTGGGTAATAAAATGCATATTGAGAATAAGGCGGCCTTCCGGCCCCTCTGGGTCTAGGGCGGTAAAGCGTCTAAGGGTTGCTGCTAAGCGGGCCATGACCTGGGCTGGGTTTTCGTCTTTACCTCGGGTAGTTTTTAATTTTGTCATAATTAAAAGCTTTGTGTGCTGCCTTTTTAAGCCCTTCAACTAGGCAGGAAATCATGTAATCTCGCCTAGCTATACCTGGGGAATCTGCCTGATAGTTCCTTTGGGGGTCCTCTCGGGGAACTGCTCTGATGCCTTCCTGGAGGCCTGGCTCATGAAGCCAGCGGTTGTCAGCGTGAGACTGGGCTAGAGAAAAAACTCTTTCCTGTTCATCTGGGGAGAGGGTGGAAGTCAGGATGACATTTAAGTCACTGCAGGTTAACTTGCAGGACAGAGTTAGATATCGGAATTCCTGTATATATTTAGTGGGGTCTGATGAGAAAGAGCCCAAACACTGGCTGATTTGGGAAAAGTCTGATACAGAAAAAGGCACATGTACCCAGACTATGCCTTCAGCTCCAGCCACTTCTCTAAGAGGAAATTGTTGGGCAGGTGGGGGAGAGCTAGTCGCAGAACGAAACTGTAAAGCAGACCGGGTGTGAGGAGAGGAAGTGATAAAAGGATTATAGGGTGGGGGAGCAGTGGCTGAGGAAGAGTTGGGACCTGGCTCGGCCTAGCGAGAAGCAGCCTGGGGAGGAGGGGAGAGGTCAGATGGGTCTGTAGAAAAGAAGGATTCAAAGGACTCAGAGCTTGGGGTGGAGACTGAAGGAACAGACAGGAGAGAAAGAAGAAAGATTTGGGATGAGTCACATTGGGAGCAGAGACTAGGGAGGGACCAATGTATAAAAGATTGCCTGGACGTCAGGCACCACAGACCATTTGCCCATTTTTCAACAAAAATTATCTAGATCTTGTAGGATAGACATATCAAAAGTGCCATTCTCTGGCCACTTGGAACTACTGTTGAGTTTGTATTGTGGCCAAGTGGTATTGCAGAAGAAAATAAGGCATTAAGTTTTAGGTCAGGTGTGAGTTGAAGAGGTTTTAAGTTCTTGAGAACACAGGCTAAGGGAGAAGAAGGGGGAATGGAGGGCGGAAGGTTGCCCATAGTGAAGGAGGTAAGTTTAAAGAGAAAGGTAGAGACACGGAGAAGGAGGGTGGGGAGCAGCCCTAGGCTGCAATGTGGGTGAGCAGCCAAAGCAGGCATCCCCGCAACTAACTTGCCACCAAGGGAATGTCAGTGAATGACCAAGGCAGGCATCCCCGCGGTGATCAGACGCCAATGGAGTGTGGGTGAATAATCAGGCAGGCGTCCCCACAATGATTAAACACCAAGGGAAGGCTGTCTTCCTGAGTCCATGACTGGCGCCAGAGTTTTGGGTCCATGGATAAAATGTGTCTACTTTGTCTCTACTAGAGAGGAAAAAGAACTGGAATTAGAAAGACAGGGAGATTGAAGGGTAGTGAGAAAGGCTAGATAAGAGAGTGAAAAGACCGCTTACCCAATTTGAAATTGGTGAGATGTTCCTTGGGCTGGTTGGTCTGAGGACCCAGGGTCATACATAGGTGGATCTCTTCATGGAGTGAGGGTGAGGACAGGGGACTGGTCTCCTGAAGGAGTCCCTCTGACCCGGGTCTTCGGCACCAGATGTCTGTCACATCCGCGTGAAGAGAACACCAAACAGGCTTTGTGTGAGCAACAAGGCTGTTTATTTCACCTGGGTGCAGGCGGGCTGAATCCAAAAAGAGAGTCAGCAAAGGGTGGTGGGATTATCATTAGTTCTTATAGGTTTTGGGATAGGCAGTGGAGTTAGGAGCAATGTTTTGCAGGCAGGGGGTGGATCTCACAAACTACATTCTCAAGGGTAGGGAGAATTACAAAGAACCTTCTTAAGGGCGGGGGAGATTACAAAGAACCTTCTTAAGGGTGGGGGAGATTACAAAGTACATTGATCAGTTAGGGTGGGACAGAAACAAATCACAATGGTGGAGTGCCATCAGTTAAGGCTATTTTCACTTCTTTTGTGGATCTTCAAGTGCTTCAGGCTATCTGGATGTATACGTGCAGGTCACAGGGGATATGATGGCTTAGCTTGGGCTCAGAGGCCTGACAATTATTATGAGGCTAGACCATGTGATGTTTTTACAGTGCACTTTTTTTTTTAACAAAGACATTTCTCTAAGTGTCTAAACCAAACTCTTCCTTGATTTAAACACCCAAGAGTAACCTCTGTTGTAATAACTGTTTTAGTCAAAAAAAATCAGGTAACACAATACAAAAGCAAGCAGTTTAAGATCTGAGATGAACTCGCCTGTTTACACTCTTGGGGTTCCATAAGGAAAAACAGAGATTTCTTCCCGAAAGGGAGTCTGGCACCTTCTCTGTTTTCTTTAAGGAATCTCAGGCTGTTAGAAACTATTTTAGATTCCTCATGAAGCAGAGGGTGGCAAGAGAAAGGAGAGACAGCAGAAGTAAATGAAGAAAACAGAATTCAGTTGACTAAGAAGAAAAAAAAAACCTTTTTCTCAAAAAAAAAAAGAAAGAACAAAAGAAAAAAACAAAACAAGGTCCTAGGAGAGAAAAGAAAACCACAAAGGCCTTTTAAATACACACACACACACACACACACACACACACACACCTTGAATATTAGCTTTTAATTAAGCTGACTTTTAAACATTGAGCTCCTTTAAAAAAAAATTTGGCTGGACGTGGTGGCTCATGCCTGTCATCCCAGCACTTAGGGAGGCCTAGGCAGGCAGATCATTTGAAGTCAGGAGTTTGAGACCAGCCTGGCCAACATGGCTGGGCATGGTGGCTCATGCCTGTCATCCCAGCACTTTGGGAGGCCGAGGCCAGCGGATCACTTGAGGAGTTTGAGACCAGCATGGCCAACATGGTGAAACCCCGTCTCTACTAAACATACAAAAATTAGTTGGGATGGTGGCACATGCCTGTAATTTCAGCTACTCGGGAGGCTGAGGCAAGAGAATCACTTGAACCCAGGAGGCAGAGGTTGCAGTGAGCCAAGATCATGCCACTGCACTCCAGCCTGGGTGACAGAAACTCTGTCTCAAAAGACAAAACAAAACAAAAAATTTACCAAGACAGTTGTAGGTAAAGAAAGGCATATTTATTAGAGAAAGTATTAAAATATGTTTCAAAAAAGCAATGGGCAGAATTATCAGAGGTGTGTGAATCAGAGCAACTCCATCTTGAATAGGGGCTGGGTAAAATGAAGCTGAGACCTACTGGGCTGCATTCCCAGATGATGAAGGCATTAGTCACAGGATGAGATAGGAGGTCAGCACAAGATACAGGTCATAAAGACCTTGCTGATAAAACAGTTTGCGTAAAGAAGCCAAAGCCGGCCAAAACCCACCAAAACCAAGATGGACACGAGAGTGACCTCTGGTCGTCCTCACTGCTATACTACCACCAGGGCCATGGCAGTTTAAAAATGCCATGGCAACATCAAGAAGTTACCCTATATGGTCTAAAAAGGGGAGGCATGAATAATCCACCCCTTTTTTAGCATATAATCAAGAAATAAACATAAAAATGGGCAATCAGCAGCCCTCAGGGCTGCTCTGCCTGTGGAGTAGCCATTCTTTCTTCCTTTACTTTGCTAATAAACTTGCTTTCACTTTATGGACTCCCCCTGAATTCTTTCTTGCGTGAGATCCAATAACCGTCTCTTGGGGTTTGGATTGGGACCCCTTTCCAGTAACAGAATCAGCAAGAGAGGAAGTGACTGCAAGAAAACAAAGGCTTGCTGGAGATTTTATAAGCTGGTTCTTGGGCTGCAGAGTGCTACATGTAGTACTGATAATGACAAGGTTGCAGAGGAGCTAACTTGCAACATTTCTGTCAGCCAAGGTGTTTGATGATAAATGGAACCATCTGATAAGCAGGAAGAGTGTGAGTTGTACATTATCTGCACAGATAATGTTTGTGTCCTGGGCCACAAAGAAAGGCAGACCTATTATAGCTTATCTGCTTTATCTCTTTGCTTTCCCCTGATCTCGCCAGCTTGTCCCCTTTTCCCTAATTAGGACTCCACAAAGTGAGACAGAAACAACAAAAACAGAAACAAAAAAACAAAACAAAAAACAGTTAAGCAAAACAAACAAATGATCACACAATTTATACAATTACTGAGCACTCTAATTATAAGGAGAAATTAAGACTAGCTGGTTGTTAATCTTAACTTTAGCCAAGACAAAAACCCAATTCAGCTACTTACCAAGGAATGGGGCTCAAACTGAAGACTGCTCTCTACCATCCTAGAAGCGGGAAAAAGCTCAAACTCACCCTCCCTCTTGGAAGAGGGCTGAAACTCCAGAAGGGGGTTACCTGCCCACCATCAGCATGGAAGCAGGAAAACTTGCCTTCCTTGTTGGAAGCAAGTAAAACTCCAGAAAAGTTGTACAGCAAAATAAACATTAGATCTCAAACAAATTTGGGTAGAGACCAGGGATTCTCTGGAGGGAAGGGAGCTCCCAGGCATCAGCAAATTGTTCTATTGGTTTGAGTCATAAGGATAGCTCAAGCTAGTACCAAGCACCAAAAGGAGATTTGTCAAAGATCAGGGGCACTTCCACTCAGAATCCCTTCGTGGTTACCAAACTGTGAACCCAAAATATCTGAGTCAGGTCTCAATCAATTTTTCTAGTTTATTTTGCCAAAGTTAAGGACACACCCATAACACAGCCTCAGAAAGACTTGATGACATGTACCCAAGGCAGTTGGGGTACAGCTTGATTTTATACATTTTAGGGAGACACGAGACATCAATCAATATGTGTAAGATGTACATTGGTTCAGTCTGGAAAGCCAGGACAACTTGAAGTTGGGGGAGCAGGGGCTTCCAGGTCATAGGTAGATAAGAAACAAAAGATTTCATTATTTTGAATCCTTGATCAGCCTTTCACTGAATACACAATTTAGTCTGGCTCAGTGAATCTGCATTTTTACATAAACAATAGGGCTGAGGAAGCAATCAGATATGCATTTGTCTCAGAGGGATGACTTCCTGTCCCACACCTGTGAAAAGAAGCTATCAGTTTACATTGCCCGGGTGAAATTCAACAGAACTGTTTTAGAGTAAAGATCTTGAGGCCCACAAAAAATTGCTGTGGGAAAATTGTGAGGGAGGTATGTAGCTTTTTTTTTTTTTTTTAATCTTTGTAGCTATCTTCTTTACAAACAAAATGAGAGGCAGGTTTTCCTGACACAGTTCCTAGCTTGACTTTCCCCTTGGATTAGTGATTTTGAGGTCTGACATTTATTTACCTTTCACAGATCTAAAGGTGGAATTTATAATTTAAAGGGATGCAGATATAAAAATTTGAAAAATTTGTAGTCTGGCCATGTAATAGAAAAGGAAAAAGCATTTTCAGGAGAGGAATCCAAGGGTGCTGTGGAGCAACCATTTGCAAGAGAGATGACTTGCAAGAGAGCATGACTAAAAGTTAATCATGCTGATAGTTAAGGCAATGGGGAAAAGTCCCCAAAGGCACTTCAGAAGATAGGTAGTCTCTCCCATCACAAGCTAAGAGGTCCAGGAGGACAGAATGGTTTTTGGAGGACAGGCTCAGGGCTCTGTGCCCTGTGCTGCCTAGAGATGCTGCTCCCACATCCCAGCCACTCTGGCTCCAGCCACAGCTCAAAGAACCTCAGGTGCCACTCAGGATGCTGCTCTGGAGTGCACAAGCCATAAGTCTTATCAGCTATCACATGTTGTTAAGTCTGCAGGCACCCAGAATGCAAGAGTGGTGGAGAACTCTTGGTGGCTTCCACCTAGATTTCAGAGGATGCATCAGAAAGCCTAGGTGTCCAGGCAGAAGCCTGCTGAAGGGGCAGAGCTACCACAGAGAGCCTCTGCTAAGGTAATGACAATCAGGAATGTGAGATTGCAGCCCCCATAGAGACCTGTATTAGAGCAATGCCCAGTGGAGCTGTGGAAGCAGGGCCATTGTCCTCCAGACCCCAGAATTATAGAGCCACTGGCAGTGTGCAACCTCAGCCTGGAAAAGCTGTAGGCATTCAACCTAACCCATGAGAACAGCCACATGGACTGAGCAAAGCCATGGGAGTGAGGCTGCCTGAGGCCTTTGAGGTCCATCCCTCACACCAGTGTGCCTAGGATGCAGATCATGAAGTCAAAGGAGATTGTTTTGGAACTTTAAGATTTAATGTCTGCTCTGCTGGGTTCTGGATTTGCATAAGGTCCATTACA
Organism: Homo sapiens; assembly: GCF_000001405.40. Taxonomy (NCBI): domain Eukaryota; kingdom Metazoa; phylum Chordata; class Mammalia; order Primates; family Hominidae; genus Homo; species Homo sapiens. Next base: position 35,029,264 of record NC_000009.12, read on the forward strand.
CACACACACCTATATATATAGGTGCAGTAGCACGATCATAGTTCATTCTGTCTCCCAGGCTGGAGTCCAGTGGCACCATTATAGCTTACTACATCATCAAATTCCTGAGCTCAAGCAATCCTCCCACCTCATTCTCCTAAGTAGCTGAGACTACAGGCGCACACCACCACACCCAGCTAATTTTTAAAATGTTTGTAGAGACCTGTCTCATTATGTTGCCCAGGCATGTCTCCAACTCCTTGCCTCAAGCGATCCTCCCACCTCAGCCTCCCAAAGTGTTGTGATTACAGTTGTTCAGCCACTATGCCTGGGCCTGTTACGCCTTTCTTGGGCCAATTTCTCCCTTTTGGAATGGGAACATGTTTACCCAGTGCCTGTACAACCATTATATCTTGTATGTAAATAACTTGATTTTTATTTTAAAGGCTCATAGCTTTAAGGAACTTGACTTAAGTCTCAGGTGAGACTTTGGACTTATAAGTTGATGCTAGAACAAGTTAAGACTTTTGGAGACTATTGGGATGGAATGATTATATTTTGTATGGAAGGACATGAGATTTGGAAGGCCAGGGGCAGCATGCTTCTTTGTCCCAAACATCCAAATCTGTCGCTGTTTGTGATCCTCAATTGATTTTTAGTCAGCAGTCCTTTACTGGAACATCCTTTACCCAAACCTCATGTTGAAATTTGATCCCCAGTGTTGGAGGTGGGGCTTAATGGTAACTGTTTGGATCCTGGAGGCAGATCCTTCACCAATGGCTTGGTGCCATCCTTGAAGTAACACAACTTACTCTATTAGTTCAGTGAGAGCTGGTTATTAAAAAGAGCTTGGCACCTCACTTCCCCCGTTGCTTCCTCTCTCACCATGTGATCTCTGCACATGCCAGCTCCACTTCATCTTCCACCACAGTGGAAGCAGCCTGAAGCTTTCACCAGAAGCAGATGCTGCAGAACCATGAGCCAAATAAACCTCTTTTCCTTATAAATACCCAGCCTCAGGTATTCCTTATAGCAACACTAAATAAACTAAGGCAGACATTCATTATAAATAAATTAATATGATCCTTCCTTCCTTCCTCTCTCTTTTTTTCTTTGACAGGGTCTTGCTATGTCACCTCCCACCTCAGCCCCCTGAGTAGCTGAACTACAGGCACACACTACCACACCTGGATAATCTTTTAATTTTTTTTGTAGATACAGGGTCTCACTATGTTGCCCAGGCTGGTAACAAACTCCTGGCCTCAAGCAATCCTCTGCCTGAGCCTCTCAGAGTGCTGGGACTATAGGTGTGAGCCACTGCTCCCAGCCAATAATATAATTTTTTTTTTTTTTTTTTGAGACGGAGTCTTGCTCTGTCGCTCAGGCTGGAGTGTAATGGCACAGTCTTGGCTCACTGCAACTTCCACTTCCCAGGTTCAAGCAATTCTCCTGACTCAGCCTCCCGAGTAGCTGGGATTACAGGCACCCACAACCGCACCCAGCTAATTTTTGTATTTTTAGTAGAGATGGGATTTCACCATCCTGGCCAGACTGGTCTTGAACTCATGACCTCATGATCCATCCACCTTGGCCTCCCAAAATGCTGGGATTACAGGTGTGAGCCACCACACCTGGCCCAGCCAGTAATATACTTTCTACATTGAATTAATAAACATCTGTGCTCTTTCCCTAAAATTCATTTTTTTTTACCTGACAGATGGTGCAGACAAACCTGTATTTTTAAAGTGCATTAAAATATTTTCTATTTTTTCTTCTTTGAAAATCTCTCCCATGATTTGAGGAAGAAAAAAAAAAAAACCTCAAAGTTTTCCTGTATGTGATCTTCAATTGATTTTGAGTCAGTAGTCCTTTACTGAAAAGAGCAAAGAATCTCACTCTAACAGATACATGTATGCTCTGTCCAGTAACATTTTATCCCCTGGGTACAGAGCTTACTTAGACTCTAACATTTTAGCAGTGCTCTCCAGATTAGCTCAACTACAAAGGAAACATTTGACCCACAGACACCTGAGAAGGGAAGGTGACTGAGGAATGGGTGTTGAGGGACTCTGCTCTCCTGCAAATATTCTGAACTATCTTCAGGATCCAAGATCCTATCTTAGGATCCACTTAAGACCTGCACGCATGAAGTCATTGTACCATGGAGCACATCCTTACAGGGCTGCCCCAAAAATATGCCCAACATAGAAACTAAAACTTTGCTGGTTATCAGCATCACTGAGGAATAGTATTTAGACTTGACAAAGTAGAGGAGCTGAATCTAAGAACTGTACTTAAAGCCAAGCACCCAAAAGGGCTATATCACCTGTTGATGAGGTGAAGAGAAAAATCTGCATACTGGTAACGTGAACCAACAAGAAAACCAGTCTGTCCCTGGTAATAGTAAGAATAGGGAGGAGAGAAACATTTGAGAAATAGACAAAAATGGCAAAATGGGGTGGAAAGGACTAATAACATTAATCATTTTCCCTAATCATTTATAATCATAGCCCTAGTCTCATGCAGTTCCAGCATTTGAATGTACACCATACTCAGAGTCTGATAAACCCCAATTCAAGAAATAAGTAGAAATACAGTCCTAGGTTGATAGTGTTCCCAGCTGGGCACAGTGGCCCACGCCTGTAATCCCTATACTTCGGGAGGCCGAGGTGGGCAGATCACTTGAGGTCAGGAATTCGAGACCAGCTTGGGCAACAGAGTGAAACGCTGTCTCTACTAAAAATACAAAAATTAGCTGGATGTGGTGGCAGGCACCTGTAATCCCAGCAACTCAGGAGGCTGAGGCAGGAGAATTGCTTGAACTCAGGAGGCAGAGGCTGCAGTGAGCCGAGATAGCACCACCGCACTCTAGCCTGGGAGACAGAGGGAGACTCTGTCTCAAAAAATAAAAATTAAAAATAAATAAATAAATAAATAAATAAAAGATAGTGTTCCCTAGCACGCAGAAGAAACCAAGACAAATCATCTCAACCCAGACCTCTCAGGATTCCCAAAGTTGAAGTTTAACCAAATATGAATTCCTAATAAAATATCAAACATACAAGGAAACAGACAACCATGAGCAGAGTCAAGAGAGACTACAAACTGAAATGTAAGACATACACAGACTGCAGATATTAAAATTAAAAAAATAGTATATGAAGTAAATACGTTTAAAGTGTTTTAACTGAAAGGCAGAGATAAGCAGTATGTAAAGCAGAAAGAAGGGACATTTAGGTCAACCTGGACCTTCAGGGTAAGTTCCCTGAGGATATGATGCTTGAGTTGGGCTAGAAGGACAATTAAGAATTAGTCAAGATAGGCCGGGTGCGGTGACTCACACCTGTAATCCCAGCACTTTGGGAGGCTGAGGTGGGCGGATCACAAAGTCAGGAGATCGAGACCAGCCTGGCTAACATGGTGAAACCCCGTCTCTATTAAAAATACAAAAAAAAATTAGCCGGGCGTGGTGATGGGCGCCTGTCGTCCCAGCTACTTGGGAGACTGAGTCAGGAGAATGGCGTGAACCCGGGAGGCGGAGCTTGCAGTGATCGCACCACTGCATTCCAGGTCAGGCAACAGAGTGAGACTCCATCTCAAAAAAAATAAAAATAAAAATAATTAGTCAAGATATAATGCCATCAGGATATGAAGGAAAAAAAAGAATTAGGTGGAAAAAAGTGGTAGGGCATTCCATACCAAGAAATCAAAATCATAAGCAAAGACATGGACACACTGAACAGCATGGGGGACTCAGGGAAAACTTCAAGTGTCCTCTGTTACTAGAGTAATAAATGCAGAGCAGGAAAGAGCAAGAGAAGCTGAAGAAGTAGCATATCAGGAGATAGAGGGCTTTGTATACCATACGTAGGAAGTATGGCCTCACTGAAGGACTTTAAGGAGGGGAATAACATGATCAGTTTTGTTTTATGTAGACTGCTTTGTTAGTAGTGAGGGAAAAGGATTTAAGATGGGCAAAGCTGGAGGAACAGAGATCAGCTAGGATCAGCTACAGATCAACTGCTGCACAGGTTACAGGAGAAATGATGAGCGTCTGAACTACCAGGGTGTCTGTAAGGGTGGGAGGAGAGGCAGATTTGAGAAACTGCAGCTAAAATTAGCAAAAGCTGGTGATTACTTTTGGGAAGGATGAAGGGGAAGCAGCATAGAATGGCTCCTGTGTTTCTTGCTTGGGTGACTAGGTGATATTAATTGATTTGGGGAATACAACAGGAAGACCACATTGGGACAGATGATAATGCCCTAAATAATGAAGATGTTAGGTCTGAGTACTTATGGCGAATCAAGCTTGGAGATGCTTATCAAGCAACTGGATTTATGAGATTGAAGCTCATATGAGAAGTCAATGCTGAAATAATTAACTACAAAAGTGGCTAATTCACCTAAGGAGAGACAGAAGCACAATGATCCAAGTGTGGAATTCAGGGTTAGGAAATAATCTGAAATTCATGACAAGTTTTATAGGTTTTTAAAAAATGCTCATAAGCAAAATATAATTATGTATAGATATTAAGCAAGTCTTACAGTATCAAAAATTGGAAACCATCTAAAAGTAAAAAAAAATAGAATGGTTAATTATTACAGTATATCCACTTTGGAAAAATATCATAGTCATTAAAAATGATGTTTAGGCCAGGCGCCAGTGGCTCACACCTGTAATCCCAGCACTTAGGGAGGCCGAGGTGTGCTGATTGCTTGAGCCCAGGAGTTTGAGACCAGCCTGGCTAACATGGAAAACCCCGTCTCTACTAAAAATATAAAAATTAGGCTGGGTGCGGTGACTCAAGCCTGTAATCCCAGCACTTTGGGAGGCCAAAGCAGTTGGATCACCTGAGGTCAGGAGTTCGAGACCAGCCTGCACAATATGGCAAAACCCCGTCTCTACTAAAAATACAAAAATTAGCCGGGCATTGTGGCGGACACCTGTAATCCCAGCTACTTGGGAGGCAGAGACAGGAAAGTTGTTTGAACCCAGGAGGCAGAGGTTGCAGTGAGCTGAGATCATGCCACTGCACTCCAGCCTGGGTGACAAGAGCAAGACTCCATCTAAAAAACAAACAAAGAAAAAAATTATCCAGGCTTGGTGGTGCATGCCTGTAATACCAGCTACTCAGGAGGCTGAGGCAGGAGAATTGCTTGAACCTGGGAGGCGAAGGTTGCAGTGAGCCAGAATTGAGCCATTGCACTCCGCCCTGGGCAACAGAGCAAGACTCTGCCTCAAAAAAAAAAAAAAAAAAAATGGTTAGGAAGTTTACAGAGTGTAGAAAAGGTTTATAATAAAATGTTAACTGCTTTCCTACCTTTAAAAAACACTACGGGCTGGCCTCCCAACACTTTGGGAGGCTGAGGCAGGTGGATCACGAGGTCAAGAGTTTGAGACCAGCCTGGCCAAGATGGTGAAACCTCATCTCTACTAAAAATACAAAAATTAGCCAGGTGTTGCCAGGCACGGTGGCTCATGCCTGTAATCCCAGCACTTTGGGAGGCCGAGGCGGGCAGATCATGAGGTCGGGAGTTCAAGACCAGCCTGACCAACATGATGAAACCCCGTCTCTACTAAAAATACAAAAATTAGCCGGGTGTGGTGATGCACGCCTGTAATCCCAGCTACTCAGGAGGCTGAGGCAGGAGAATCGCTTGAACCAGGGAGGCGGAGGTTGCAGTAAGCTGAGATCGTGCTACTGCACAGCAGCAAAAAAAAAAAAAAAAAAAAAATTAGCCATGCAAGGTGGTGGGCGCCTGTAATCCCAGCTACTTGGGAGGCTGAAGCAGGAGAATCGCTTGAACCCTGGCGACGGAGGTTGCAGTGAGCCAAGATCGCGCCACTGCACTCCAGCCTTGGCGACAGAGCAAGACTCTGTCCCAAAAATAAAATAAAATAAAATAAAATAAACACTACATATGATTTAAACAATATAAAAATATGAGTAACAAAGTCCGAGCACAGTGGCTCACGTCTGTAATCCCAACACTGTGGGAGGCTGAGGCGGGCAGATCATAAGGTCAGGAGTTCGAGACCAGCCTGGCCAATATGGTGAAACCCCATCTCTACTAAAAATACAAAAAAACTAGCCAGGCGTGATGGCGCGCCCAGCTATTAGGGAGGCCGCAGCAGGAGAATCACTTGAACGCGGGAGGCAGAGGTTGCAGTGAGCCGAGATTGCACCATTGCACTCCATCCTGGGCAATAGAGAGACTCCGTCTTTAAAAAAAAAAAAAAAAAAAAAAAAAAGAGTAACAAGGTCTGGAAATAAATACATCAAATTGCTATAGAAACAGCAAATATAGAAACTTGAGGTTGATGAAATTCTTCCTTCTACCTTTCCACATTTTCCAAATTCACTATATAATATTATAATAACGGAGAAAACTTTAAAACAAACAACATTTCCTATCACCTCTATCAGGACATAGCTAGAGTTCCTATCAAACACAGGACCTGACATACAGGAGCCCCTCACAAAACGCAGTCATGTGCCAATACCTAGATGTGAAGGCAGCTGCTGTAGAGGCTCCTGCCTTCTAGAAGCCTGCAGTCTCTCCTGTCTGCCAGAAGCCTCACCATGGCTCGGCCTCCGAGATGCCATCCTGGGCCGGCAGGGCAGGTTCAGCTTCTGCCCCTCGGGACTCGATCTCACCTCTGGCCGCTGACACTCTGACCCATGCGACTTTTCGGGGCTCCTACTTCCCATTCCCACCAGCCCACCAGGGGCACTGCGGCCTCACAACTCCCTCATCCCCTGGGAAACAATTCCCCCAGGACCGTGGGCATTATCCCTCCAGCGGACGTCGGCCCCACAAGCCCCTCACGGAAGGGCGGCTCCGTGAGATCTCACTGTACTGACCAGTCCTGCCACTGCCAGGACGCTGGGCCTCTCAGACACTCGATGAGACCGGTCCAACTCCAGGTGGCAACTGGAGCTGGGTTGCTGCCGGGCCCTTAACACTACATCCCTACGGAGAGGGCGGAACAGGAGAGAGGAATAGCAGAAGGGAAAGGCAGAGGGGAGGGTGGCGAGGAAGAACCCGCGAGTTCCGATGGAGGCTGTGGCTGCGCGTCGATGCTCCACCAGGACGCTGGAGAGGCGGCGCGGGTCCCACAAGCCCGAAAGCCCGGGAGGTGGGGCGGGTCCTGCAGCGGAAATGCCTCTTGGGCGCTCCGCCCGAATCTCGGTTGTGAGCTTAAATGCTCAGCTCTCATATCAAGGAAGCTAAGGCGCCTTCAGCCTCCTGAGGAGATACCCGGGGAGGCCGCTGCTAGGAAGCCTGAGAGCGCCCACTGACGGCCCTGCCCCAAGATAGGCTCCGTCCCTGAGCAGACTGGGCTGGGCCTCTCCAAAACCACGCTCACAGTTTGTTCATTCACTGCTGAGTCCTAACCAGATACTAAGCGCCAGTTGCTGACGTTAGAGCAGTAAACTGGGTACCAGGTTCCTGCCGTCTGAAAGGACATATTTAAGCCACAAGTTACAACGTAGTGTGGAAAGCGCTGTGTGGGGGTTGGGGAAGCAGTGATAAGGGCACTCATCCCGGCTTGGGAGTCAAGGGAGGTCTCCAGTGGGGCACCAGCCACAGTAGCAGGACAGAAGCAGATCGGATGTAATGGTTTTTAATGATAAAAAGTTACCATCTGATGTCTTCTGGTTCCTCTGAGACCTGCTGGCTGCTGGGGGTGGAGGGGAAAAGAAGTTGAGGAGGCCGTGATCTTGGACTTCCCAGCCTCCAGAATTATGAGAAATAAATGCTTGTTGTTTAAGCCAGAAAAAAAAAAAAAAGAAAGAAGAAAAAAGATTAAATGAGATAATAAATGTTAGAGTATAAATGTGTTCCACATCACTGAGGAGCAAAAAAAAAAACAACACATTATTTAATTTTTCTAAATTAAATTAACTCGGGCTCAAAACCCCATTTACTAGGGTGGAAAGACAACCAACATCAACCATTTATTGGGGCCCATTTCCCTCTTTAGCATGTTGTACATTGACAAAAAAAAAAAAAACTTAGAAAAGAGCCTCTGGGCCAGGTGTAGTGGCTCAGGCCTGTAATCCCTGAACTTTGGGAGGCTGAGGCGGGAGGATCACTTGAGCCCAGGAGTTGGAGACCAGCCTGGGCAACATAGAAAGACCCCATTTCTAAAAAATACAAAAATAAAATAAAGAAAGAGAGAAAAAAAAAAAGAGACTCTGGTCTTCAGTCTGTCATGGTTGCTCCTGGGATGACCATTGTCTAAATCCATATGGTCCATTCAAAGGCAGGCAGATTCATAGCATCTCTGCCAAGTATGCACACCAGATCTCTGCAGCTCCCAAGACAGAGTGCTAGATGCTTAGTTCCAAAGCCATTAAATCAGCACTCCCTATCAGAAGTCATGGCCAGGCATGGTGTCCTCACGCCTATAATCCCAGCACTCTGGGAGGCTGAGGTGGGCGGATCACCTGAGGTCAGAAGTTCGAGACCAGCCTGGACAACATGGTGAAATGCCATCTCTAATAAAAATACAAAAATTAGCCAGGCATGTTGGCAGGCACCTGTAATCCCAGATACTTGGGAGGCTGAAGCAGGAGAATCGCTTGAACCTGGTGGGTGAAGTTTGCAATGAGCTGAGATTGCCCCACTGTTCTACAACTTTATCCAGGTTCTGTGTGGAGGGGAATTTAATTTAGCTGGGTGGTTTTTTTTTTTTGGTTTGGAAACACAAAGCCACTAACAATCCCATGAGACAGGACAGGTGTGGTGGCTCATGCTTGTAATCTCAACACTGGGAGGCCAAGGCAGGTGGATCGATTAAGCCCAGGAGTTCGAGACCAGCCTGGGCAACATTGCAAAACACTGTCTCTACAAAAAAATACAAAAATTAGCCAGGTGTGGTGTGTGTGTGCCTGCAGTCCCAGCTACTTGGGAGGCTGAGATGGGAGAATCACTTGAGCCTGGGGGGTCAAGCATGCAGTGGGCTGAGATCATGCCACTGCATTCCACCCTGGGTGACAAAGTGAGACCCTGTCCCAAAAAAACAAACAAGCAATCACATGAGACAAGAAATCCAGTATTCCTGGAAGAAAATTAAGCCAAGTTATCTTTTTATCCTACTAGTCATCCCATCTGGCAAGGAGTAGGAGACAGAAACTGGTAAATTATCTTGCCATAATGTAAATAAACAAGCACAGAATAAGTGTTGAGTATTACCTTCTCTGTCTTCCATCAGGACTCAATTTACCTTCTTCAACTAGTGGTTGCAAATTCAAATACCACGCAGATAATATAAATTAGTAAAAATAAACAAGTGGAAGAAAACAAAATCATAGGCACAATGATCAACAGCAACGAGCCCTTAGTCTTGGCAATAAACTTTTTTTTTTTTTTTCTTTAAGAGACATGATTTCACTCTGTTGCCCTGACTGGAGTGCAGTGGCATGATCATAGCTCACTGCAGCCTTGAACTCCTGGTCTCAAGCAATCCTCTTGCCTTGGCCTTCCAAAGTGCTGGGATTACAGGTGTGAGTAGTCACCATACCCAGTCTTGGCATTTACTCTAAGAACAGGGTGAGAACTGCAGTGAACTGGAGAGCACAAGTTCATTCCAAAGGGAGCAATTGCTACTTAGCTCCAAATAGCCTTTACTTTGTGGGAATATAAGTCCAGTGTTGCCAGATTTTAAGTTGGAAATATTATGTACGATCTACTGATTTACAATATTGGCTACTCATTAAAGTTTTTTTTTAAAAAAAAACACCGTTGGCTGCCGGGCGCGGTGGCTCACACCTGTAATCACAGCACTTTGGGAGGCTGAGGCAGGCAGATCACGAGGTCAGGAGATTGAGACCATCCTGGCTAACACAGTGAAACCCCGTCTCTACTAAAAATACAAAAAATCAGCCAGGTGCGGTGGCAGGCACCTGTAGTCCCAGCTACTCAGGAGGCTGAGGCAGGAAAATGGCATGAACCCAGGAGGCGGAGCTTGCAGTGAGCCAAGATCGCGCCACTGCACTCCAGCCTGGGCAATAGAGCGAGACTCCATCTCAAAAAAAACAAAACAAAACAAAAAAAACCACCGTTGGTCACAGTTAAAAAGCACTGTCTGGGCCAAATGTTACACATAAGTAGGTCATCTTTATGCCCTTCAATGGTTTCAGCTGCTACATATATGCTGCTAGAGGTCAAATCTACATCCCCCCCATAGACTGCTCTCCCAAGCTTCAGATCCATGTATCTGTCCCTTGCCTAGCTTTACCTTGAGGTGACACCAGAACCTCAAATTCAAATATCTAAAATGGAACCCATCACCGCCCCCCAACCACCATAACTTGGTTCCCAGGTCTTTGTTTCTTATCTCAGTGAAATTGCACCAACAAACATCCAGTTTCCCAAGTCAGAAATCTTGGAGTCACCCTCAATTTCCTCTCTCCCCCAACCTATCCTATTGGTAAACAAGTCTAATCAATTTTATCTCTGGAGTTCTACTTGAATCCATATTTCCCATGCCCACCATCACTGACATGGTTCAGGCCTCACTTTAGTTTTTATTTAACTAAAGCAAGACTCACCTAACCTCTTGCCTTTTGTGTCTTTACCCTCACTAGAATGTTATTTCCGAGACACAAACTTCATCTTGTCACTTCCCTGTTTAAAACTTTTCAATGGTTTCACATTGAAAAGTGACAGAGTTCCAACTTCTTAGCCTGGTGTTCAGGGACTTTGTGATCTTGTCTTTCTAGGTTCATCTCCTACCACTTCCCCAACCTCCATCCAAAACTACAGCCACACTGAAATACCTTCAATTTCCATAATGGGGCATAGTTTCTCTGCCCTAGCACATTTACACAGGCTGTTCCTACTGCCTGGATTGTCCTTCTCTCACTCCCTACACTACATCCTCACTTTCTTGGTTCCTCAAATAAAGCATTAATCATCTCCTCTGGGAAGCACCCCTCACCATCAACCTCCTTCTTCAGACTGGTGGGAATCTGTTCTCTGGCCCCATAAAACTCTGTGCGCATCTCTATTTTCATTACCTGTTACTTCACTGATCCCCCAATGAAATGGGACCTAGTTTAGTGCAAAGACTCTATCTTACTTCTGCAGTTTAAAGACTGAGCACAATACCTGGTCCATAACAGGCATTCAACAAATGTTACATGAATCAATCAATCAATCTAGTCCAACTCATGGTACCAATGGAGAAACCTCTCTTTGGTTTCTCAAGATCATGTGGTGGATCAGTGATGGAGCTAGAGAACCCAAGTCTCCTCACTTTCAGCTCAGCACACTTTCCACCAGAACAAATCAGCTTTTAATGAGGACAGGGATTGAAGCGTGGCCCTGAAAGGAAGGGCCGACATGGAACAAAGTGGTGGTTTTAGGGGGAAATGGAGGAAATGAGAATGGCAAAGCACATTTATTTGTCATCCTTAACATGAATGCTTCACAGTTCACAGCTGACACGAGCATAAAAAAGAGGGGATAGACCCCAACCATTAAAGACAGAATGAAGCTTATAATTAGAAACCTTAAATAGAAATTTAATACAGCATACATTATATTATTCTAAGCATATATATTTATTCATTTAATCCTTGTTAGAAATGCTTGTTCCCCAGTGCCGTGAAGAAATAGCACTTGAACATAAATTTAATTTCCTCAGCAAGGCTATTTTTACTTTCTGCAGAAACGGTACACTCACCAGCAGTTTTGCCATGAAGAGTACACCGAACAAAGGAGGCAGGGTCATTTATAGCCTGACGCATCCACCCTACTGCTGTGTCCGGTTTCCATTGGCTGGAACAGGACCTCGCTTTCTGTATTTGTCCTGATTGGCTAACAACTTAGAACTTTTTAAAAAGAGGCAAAGGCAGAGAACAAAGGAAGGAGGAAGTTAACTTGTGGAATGCTGAGAAAGGTAAAAACACCTTCAAATAAGGAAGAGGAACAGGCTATGACCTAATGCTTGCTTGGACCAATATAAGCATGCCAGGGCAAATATTTAGGCTAAATTGTGGAAGCTAAGAACATAAAGTAAATTGATTTATTACGGCTAGCAGATATTTAAGAATGTTAACAGAGGTCTTTGAATAAATTTTGCTTCTAAGAGATGTTACTATTTATTCCTAATAAGATGGAGAGGAAAGTCTTTGAAGAGGAACCTCTACTTTACTTTTTACATCCTCAAAACAACCCTGTGTAGTAAGTAATAATATTATTGTGCTGGGTAGAGTGGCCCATGCCTGTAATCCCAGCTACTCAGAGGCTGAGATGGAAGGCTCTCTTGAGCTCAGGAGGTCAAGACCAGCCGGGGCAATACAATGAGACCTTGCCTCTAAGAATAATATGCCAGGCAAGATGGTTCACGCCTATAATCCCACCACTTTGGGAGGCCAAGGCGGGAGGATCCCTAGAGCTCAGGAGTCGAGACCAGCCTGGGCAATATAGAGAGATCCTGTCTCTACAAAAATAAAAAATATAAAAATTAGCTGGGCACGGTGGCACATGCCTGTGGTCCCAGCTACTCAGGAGGCTGAGGCAGGAGGAGCACTTCAGCCCAGGAGGTTGAGGCTGCAGTGAGTCGTGATCACACCACTGCACTCCAGCCTGGGTGACACAGTGAGATTCTGTCTCAAAATAATAACAATAAATATCTATAAAATAAAGATAATGATATCTTTATTTTATAGATAAGAAAAATGAGGCACTGAAAAAATTAAGTAGTTTGAGTTTTCACAGGTAGGAAAATGACAGAGCTATGATTTGAATAAGGCAGTTCGGTGCTAGAATCCATGTACTTAACCACAATGCCTGAAGCATAATTCTGAACTGGGCAATCAAAAGGGGATCACCCACATTTCACTGTGTGAAGCATGAATTGCCTGATAGAGGAAATTTTTTTTGGTTCTAAATTCAGGGAGAAGGCTGTTAAGCCCAGGCCTCTGTGGGGGATGGGAGTTCTTTGTTCTGTGATGCAATGATGACCTCAGGGTAAACTGCCAGAAGGCTAAGGGAAATGGAATGGCTGCTGGAGGACCTGCTTGGGGCTAAGGGGGATATGGGGCTTCTCTGGGGCCAACTGACCCATGCCCTAGCCTGCAGACACTGCGGCAGCAGCTGCTTCCAGAGTCCAGGAAATCTGGTGACACTATTCTTATTCGTGGTTTGGCAGATTCAGAGATGGTGGCAGCTTGGGAGGTTGCGACAGCTTCATCCCTGGTGCTCTGGGAATATGGTGCAAGGCAAGGTGGGTGACCTGTGACTGTACAGCTGGATGAATGACTGCTGACACCACATGTGAGGTCATTGGTATGAATGTGGGCCCAGGTGAGTGACTATAAGCCCTAGATGTGAGGCTGGGTGAGTAACCACTGACACTAGATTTGAAGCCAGGTGAGTGACCATGGATTCTAGATGTAGAATGAGGGAATACTGATCTCCAAATGAGGACTGGGTAATGACCATTAACACTAGATGAGGAGCTGTGTAGGTGACTGGCCACACACGTGGGATTAGGTGAGTAACTGTCCACTCTGGATATGGAGCAGACTGAGTGCCTCATAGCAAACCTTGTGTATCTGAAAAGGCTTCATGCCTGAGAATATCTTTATCTACTTCCCAGGAACTACCACTTCTGCACCGTGTGGCCTTCCTTGATCACCTGTGTAAGCAGAAATCAGAAGTGGAGGAAGAAGGGGAAGAAGAGGAAGAGGGGGAAGACGAGGCATCTCTGGATCCACTGAAGCCATGTTCTCCTACCAAAGAAGCTCCCACTGGAGAGCAAGCCACTCCAGCCCCACCCCAGCCATCCTGTGGTTCTGAGGGCCTCCTCAAGGCTATAGGGATACCAGAGCAAACAGTCATGCAGCCCGTGAGCCCTTCCAGATCCTTCCCCATCTTCCAGATTCTGACCAGCTTTCCTGTGAGGCACAAGATAGCATCAGGGAACCGCCAGCAGCAGAGAAAAAGCCAGCTCTTCTGGGGTCTCCCCTCTCTGCACAGCGAGTCCTTGGAGGCCATCTTCCTGAGCTCAGGTGGCCCCTCTCCTCTGAAGTGGTCTGTTTGTTCTTCTGTCTTCTTCAACAAGCTTGCCTTCCTACCTAGGTCCAACCTGTTGCTTCCCCAGTATCACTCCTCAGCCCAGTTTTCTACCCATGGGGCCCATACTATGGAAGATCTAGAAGGGATGGCCCCCGATCCTCAGCTGCTTCCACCTCCATCTTCTCCTTCTGTCTCATCACTACTCCTCCATCTGAGGCCCTTCCCTGTGGACCACAAGGGAGTTTTATCTGGCGCTGAGGCACCCACACAGTCCCCTGGAACTAGCCCCCTGGAAGTTCTCCCTGGATATGAGACTCATTTGGAAACCACAGGACACAAAAAGATGCCCCAAGCTTTTGAGCCTCCGATGCCACCCCCCTGCCAATCCCCAGCTTCTCTGTCAGAACCCAGAAAAGTTAGCCCTGAAGGAGGACTTGCTATATCTAAGGACTTCTGGGGAACCGTGGGATACAGAGAGAAACCTCAGGCCTCTGAGTCTTCAATGCCAGTCCCTTGCCCTCCCCTAGACTCCCTGCCAGAACTCCAGAGAGAGAGTTCCCTGGAAGATCCATCCAGATATAAGCCCCAGTGGGAATGCAGAGAAAACTCAGGAAACCTCTGGGCTTTTGAGTCTCCAGTCTTGGACCTCAACCCAGAGCTCTCTGGAACCAGCCCTGAATGTGTCCCACCAGCATCTGAGACACCATGGAAGGGCATGCAAAGTAGAGAAAATATTTGGGTCCCTGCAGACCCAGTTTCACCTCCCAGCCTTCCCTCAGTCCCTCTCCTGGAGTCTCTAGTAATGGGCCCCCAGGGAGTCCTGTCTGAATCCAAAGCTTTGTGGGAGACCATGGGGCAGAAAGAGAACCTCTGGGCATCTGATTCCCCAGACCCTGTTCATAGCACACCTCCAACCACCCTTATGGAACCACACAGAATCAATCCTGGGGAATGCCTCGCTACATCAGAAGCTACATGGAAGGATACTGAGCATTCCAGGAATTCCTCGGCTTCTAGGTCTCCATCTCTGGCCCTCAGCCCACCCCCAGCTCTTGCACCGGAGCTGCTCAGAGTTAGATCCATGGGGGTCCTGTCTGATTCTGAAGCTAGATGTGGGGACATACAAAAGACAAAAAACTCCTGGGCCTCTAAGCACCCAGCTTGTAACTTACCCCAAGACCTGCATGGAGCCAGCCCTCTGGGAGTCTTGTCTGATTCTCAGTCTATTGTAGGGGAAATGGAGCAAAAAGAAAACTGTGTTCCTGTGTTCCCAGGTAGGGGCTCCAGCCCATCCTCAAACTCTGTTTCAAAGTCCCACGTAAGTGAGCCTATCGCAGACCAAAGCAACTATAAGCCTGACGGGGAGGCAGTGGAGCAAAGAAAGAACCACTGGGCCACTGAGCTCCCAGCCCCCAGCTCACTCTCTACTCCTCTACCAGAGCCACACATTGACCTTGAACTTGTGTGGAGAAATGTGCAACAAAGAGAAGTTCCCCAAGGCCCCAGCCCTCTGGCAGTGGATCCCCTACACCCAGTACCCCAGCCTCCCACCCTAGCTGAAGCTGTGAAGATTGAACGCACTCATCCTGGTCTACCCAAGGGAGTAACGTGCCCAGGGGTTAAGGCAGAGGCCCCACTCTCCCAGAGATGGACTGTCCCAGAGTTGCTCACCCATCCTGGGATCCATGCCTGGCAGTGGAGTAGAGAGCTGAAACTCAGGCTGAAGAAACTGCGGCAGAGCCCTGCCTCCAGAGCCCCTGGCCCAAGTCAATCATTTTGCAGCTCCCCTATTCTGAGCTCCACAATTCCAGACTTCTGGGGACTCCCTTCCTGCCCACCACAGCAGATTTATCCCCCCAATCCATGCCCCCACTCTTCAAGTTGTCATCCTCAAGAAGTTCAGCGCACAGTACCTCAGCCTGTCCAGTCCTCCCACTGTCATCACTTCCAATCCTCTTCCCAGCTTCAGCCACAGGAGTCTGGCAGGGCGGAACAAGGGTCTCAGAGAGGGGAGAAAATGAAGGGGAAGATGGTGAGCCAGGTCCCATCCCAAGGGCCATGTGTACACATGGAGGCTGGTGTGGACTATCTATCTCCAGGCCCAGGAGAACCCTCAAACTCTAAGGTTCTGGTCTCAGGCAAGAGAAAGGACAAGGCTTCAGCCTCATCCTCAGCCAAAAAGAGAGAGCACCCTAGGAAACCCAAAGCAGGAGACCATAGAAGAGGGACTGCAAGGTTGGGGTTATCCACAGTCACAGGGAAGAACCACCCTGCCCAGGCCAGAAGCCTAGTAGAGGCCCCTGTAAGCACATTTCCCCAAAGGTCTCAACACAGGGGCCAGAGCTCTCAACACACTGCTCTTCCCCAGCTGCTTCTCCCCAAAGCTTCGGGTCCCCAGGATCAGCCAGAGGCAGGGCGAAGAGCAAGTGACATCCTGACCCCTCGCCACTGTAAGCACTGTCCTTGGGCCCACATGGAGAAGTATCTCTCCTTCCCTACCCTCAAGGCTTCCCTTACCAGGGGTTTGCAAAAGGTGTTAGCCAAATGCCTGGATAACCATCGACCCCTACCCACCAAATCTAGTCAGTAGAGAAAAGGCTGGTAATACTAGCACTTGGTATGCCAAGACCTGAAGCCAAACCAGGGGGAAGGTGGGGATGTGGAGACAAGAAATGGAAATTCTAATAAACTAGCTGAATTAGATAAATCCCATTCATGTCTTCTTTGGAATCTAGGGTACTGAAAATGTCAATTCCCAATTCTGCTACAGCCATAGCCCCTCAGTTTCAAGTCCCAGTAGAGCACTCAGGATTCTGCAGGCTTAACTCTTTTGTGGATCTTCACAGATGATCACATCTGGAGTCCACACATCCCTACTCTATAGGGTGAGGCTACAGGGCCAGGTCAGCATAGCCCAAAGCCGCCCTTGAGAGGGAACGACTTCACAGCATGTGAACAAAAAACTACATCCATTCACACGAGCACAGGTCATCTGAGTCTAGGCAACTGTGCTTTGTCCTGGGTATTGTTCTCTTCTTCATCCACTTGACCTGTAAGTTCTCCACGTATCTTTCTGACCATTTCTTCTCAGCCCTCTGCTCTTTTCTCTCCCTGGGTCAGCTCATCCATCTCCAAGGCCATGAAAACAAGTGTCTTTTAATACGTCTAGTAACCGTCTGGATTTCTATAATCACCGGGTCATATCCTCTACCCATTTTCTAATGCACTATTTGTTGGACATTGTATTAGTCAATGTATTACAGTTTTCTACTGCTGCTGTAACAAATTACCACAAAACAAATTTATTTTGTCAGAAGTCTGACACGGAGCCTGGGTGCAGTGGCTCACATCTGTAATCCCAACACTTTGGGAGGCTGAGATGGGCTGATAGCATGAGCCCAGAAGTTTGAGACCAGCCTGGGCAACATGACAAAACCCTGTCTCTACAAAAAAAAAAAAACAAAAAAACCACAAAAATTAGCTGGGCATGGTGGTGCATGCCTATAGTCCCAGCTACTGGGCAAGGTGAGGTGGGAGGATCACCTGAACCAGAGAGGTCAAGGCTACAGTGAGCCACTGCACCACTACATGCCAGCCTGGGCAAAAGAGACCCTGTCTCCTCCCCGCAAAAAAAGTCTGACACATGTCTCACAGGGCTAAAATCAAGGGGTTGGCAGGCCTACATCCTTTTCTCTAGGCTCTGGGTAGGATTCACTCCTTGCCTTTCCCAGTTTCTAGAGGCTGCCCACATTCCTTGGTTACTGACCCCCTTCTTCTATCTTTAAAGCTAGCAAAGGCAAGTCAAGTTCTTCTCACATTGTATCACTCTGACCTCTTCTGCCTCCCTCTTCCACTTTTTTTTTTTTTTTTTTTTTTGAGATGGAGTCTCGCTCTGTCTCCCAGGCTGGAGTGCAGTGGCACGAACTCGGCTCACTGCAAGCTCCGCCTCCCAGGTTTTATGCCGTTCTCCTGCCTCAGCCTCCCGAGTAGCTGGGACTACAGGTGTGCACCACCTACGCCGGGCTAATTTTTTTGTATTTTTAGTAGAGACAGGGTTTCACCATGTTAGCCAGGATGGTCTCGAACTCCTAACCTCGTGATCCGCCCGCCTTGGCCTCCCAAAGTGCTGGGATTACAGGCGTGAGCCATTTTTTTTTTTTTTTTTTTTGAGACAGAGTTTCACTCTTATCACCCACGCTGGAGTGCAATGGCACAATCTCGGCTCACTGCAACCTCTGCCTCCTGTGTTCAAGTGATTCTCCTGCCTCAGCCTCCTGAGTAGCTTGGATTACAGGCATGCGCCACCACGCCTGGCTAATTTTGTATTTTTAATAGAGATGGAGTTTCTCCATGTTGGTCAGGCTGGTCTCAAACTCCTGACCTCAAGTGATCCACCCGCCTCGGCCTCCCAAAAAGTGCTGGGATTACAGACATGAACCACTGCGCCCGACCCTACCTCTTCCACTTTTAAGGACCCTTATGATTACACTGGACAAAGCTGAATAATCCAGGACACCCTTCCAATTTAAAGTCAGTTGATAGCCAGGCGCAGCAGTGGCTCATGCCTTAACAGTCCCAGCATTTCAGGAGGCCAGGGCAGCTGGATCGTTTGCGGCCAGGAGTTCAAGACCAGTCTGGCCAATATGGCAAAACCCCATCTCTACTAAAAATACAAAAATTAGCCTGGCATGGTATGTGTGCCTGTAATCCCAGCTACTCCGGAGGTTGAGGCAGGAGAATCGCTTGAACCCAGGAGGCGGAGGTTGCCAAGATCATGTCACTGCACTCCAGCCTTGACGACAGAGCAAGACCCTGTCTCTAAATAAATAAATGAAGTCAGTTGATTAGCAACCTTAATTCCACCTGGAACCTTAATGCCCCTTTTTCCATGTGAAATAATATATACATAGGTTCCAAGGATTACGACGTGGGCATCTTGAGGGCCATGATCCTGCCTACAGAGATAGTGACCCAAACTATTATGTATGTTCCAAATATTTTCTTCCAATTTGTATCTTATTGGCTAATTTTATGGTGACTTCTATTGTATCAAAGAAAAATTTTTTTATGTAGTTAAATCTACCAACACTTTACTTCATGACTTCTAAAACATTTTCTCCTGGCACTTTGATAATTTTGCATATTTATGTTTTAGATTACCGATTTTTATGGTATGAGGTGATAATCTAACCTTCCCCAAAATCATGTCCAATTTACCAATACCATTTTTTAAAAATAGAATGTCTTGAGCCCATTCCATTAAATATGGTGTATTGTAAAAACATGAGTCATTTCTAAGCATCTCTAGGCTTCAGGTCCCCATATTCAACAGCATACCAGACATTATCTCATATTTGACTTGTCCAAAAACGTATTTTCCCTTTAACTTTTTCCTCCAACACGCCCATTCCTATCAAAATGCATGACATCCACCTAAATACTTAAGCTTTGACTCTTCCTTCCTCCCTGATCTAAGCCATCACCAAATCTTGTCAGCCAGGCTCAGTGGCTCATGCGTGTAATCCCAGCACTTTGGCAGGCCGAGGTAGGAGGATCATTTGAGGTCAGGAGATCGATACCAGCCTGGGTGGTACCCCATCTCTACTAAAAACACAAAAATTAGCCGGGTGTGGTGGTGTGCACCTGTAATCCCAGCTACTTGGGAGGCTGAGGCAGAAGAATTGTTTGAACCAGGAGGCGGAGGTTGCAGTGAGCTGAGATCATGCCACTGCACTCCAGCCTGGGCAATAGAGCAAGACTCCATCTCAAAAAAACAAAACAAAACAAAACAAAACTTGTCAATTATACCTATGAAATGTATTTCAAATCCATCTTCCCCTCTCCATTTCCACCATCACTATTGTCTTAGTCATTATTTCTCACTAAATTGGTTGCTCTATTCCTTCTAATCCATCCTGCACATGGCTACAATTCTCTGGAGATCAACTGCCCCGATCTCTTCAACAAGTGTCATAAAAGTTTGAGTAAAAGGCTAGGGGTGGTGGTACATACTTATAAGCCCAGCTACTTGGGAGGCTGAGGCAGGAGAATCCCTTGAGCCCAGGATGTAGTGTGCCATGACGATTGGGAACCGAATGATGCTAAGTTTGGCATCAATAATGGTGACCTTCCAGAAGTGGGGGACCACCAGTGCCTAAGAAGGGGTGAACTGGCCCAGGTGGGAAACACAGCAGATAAAATTCCTGCACAGATCAGTAGCGATATAGCACCCGTAAATAGCCACTACACTCTTAGCCTGAGCAACAGAACGAAACCCTGTCTCTTATTTTTCAAAGTTTGAATAAAGGAATCTAACAGATGCCAACTTGTGGACCTAGGTTAGATATTGGTTTGGTCCAAATAGCTGTGAATGATATTTGGGTCGCTTGGGGGAAACTCCGAATATGGTATGGGTATCTAGTTTGGTTCTTGACCTCTAGAATTTTGCTTTTAGGGACAGGGTCATGCTCTGTCACCCAGGCTAGGGTGCAGTGGTGTAATCACAGCTCACTGCAGCCTCTAACTCCTGGGCTTAAGTGATCCTCCTGCCTCAGCCTCCTGAGTAGCTAGGACTACAGCTGTGTACCACCATGCCCAGCAAACTTTTTTTTTTATTTTTTGTAGAAATGAGGACTCACTCTTGTTGCCCAGACTGGTCTCAAACTCCCGGCCTCAACCAATCCTCCTGTCTCGACCTCTCAAAGTGCTGGGATTATAGGCATGAGCCACCATCACCACGCTCAACCAAGAACATTTACATAAAGGGAAAGGTAAAGATACTGACCAAGGCCGGGCACGGTGGCTCACATCTGTAATCCCAGCACTTTGGGAGGCCGAGGCGGTGGTGGATCACGAGGTCAGCAGATCGAGACCATCCTGGCTAACATGGTGAAACCCTGTCTCTACCAAAAATACAAAAAAATTAGCCGGGCTTGGTGGTGGGTGCCTGTAGTCCCAGCTACTAGGGAGGCTGAGGCAGGAGAATGGCGTGAACCCAAGAGGTGGAGCTTGCAGTGAGCCGAGATCTCACCACTGGACTCTAGCCTGGGCAACACAGCAAGACTCCATCTCAAAAAAAAAAAAAAAAAAGATACTGACCAAAACGAAAAAGTTATAATGCAGTATGATCTCAATTTGGGTTTAAAAATACCACATGTATAGACACGTACACATACACAAAAAAGATCCAGAAACATATGCACTAAAGTTATTAAAACAGTGATGACCTCTGGTTATTGGAAATATTTTTTTAATTTTGCTTATATTTTTACCAATTTCTTTCTTAGACAGGGTCTCATTCTGTCACCCAGGCTGAAGTGCAGTGGTAAGATCACTGTTCACTGTGGCCTCTACCTCCTGAGCTCAAGTGATCTTCCTACCTCAGCCTCCCAAGTAGCTAGGACTACCAGCACACACAACCATACCCAGCTAATTTTTGTATTTTTTGTAGAGATGAGGTCTTACCAAGTTGCCCAGTCTGGTCTCAAACTCCCAAGCTAAAGCGATCTGCTTGCCTTGGCCTCCCAAAATGCTGGGATTACCAGTGTGAGCCACCACGCCCTGGCCTATTTTTCTAAATTTCTACAATGCACATTACTGCTTCTATAAAAATAAAAGGTTATTTAATGTAAAGTGTCTACGCATAACCACGTACATGTGATTGACAATATTGTACTGTACACTTGGAAACCGTTGGATGAATTATTTGGATTTTTTTTTTTTTGCCACAAGAAATAAATTGAATTATTTAACGCTGAAGCCTATGTCACTTTCTTGCCTGAATCCTCCAGATGACCCACACCTGTAAGAAAGTTCAGTCCTGGCATTTGAGGGTCTTCACAACATGGTTCCTGATCTCTCCAAATTTACCCCAGGACTCTTGTTGCTAGTCTAACTTTAAGCTTTATGAGCAAGTGCTGTACTTTCTGACCTGTGCCTCAAACTGTTCTCCTCCACTTCTCCACATCAAGTTTCCCACCTTCCTTTAAGGCCTAGAAACCGTATTTTACATGGCATTGCCTTCCTTGCAGCCCCATTAACACTGTGTGCCTTGTTGATAGCTTCTGTTTCCTGATAGTAAGGCTTTAACATGAGGTTCTCTGAGGTCAAGCTCAAATTCTCAATCCAGTGCTCTTTCCACTCTATCATATTCCCTCTACTCTGTATATTTGGTTGAGAATCAGCCAGTCAGAAGGTACATGCTGCTTCCTTGATTCCTCTCACTAGTGTCACTGTTCTGTTCCAAAGCTTTATTTAGCTCAAACCTGTCAACAGGGTCTGAGTCCAAAACTCACCACCTGCTGGCCAAGGGTGGAACTAAAGGTACTTTTCCCTCTCCCACTACTATGGTCTCCAAAGACAATGCAATTCTGAATTTCCATTTTACATGGGAACGTGAGTTCACACTTATCTGAGTAGCTTTATAAAAAAAAAAATCCAAATCCTATATTAAGTATTTTAAAGCTCCTAGTGGGTTGTGGGGCTGAGCAAGGGTTAGCAAACCATTTGACACTTGCCACAGTTCAGCTGAAATGGAAGACCTGCATCCTTCACGGGCATTGTGTCCACTGAACTTTCAGGGGAATTTGTAGGATCAGTACCTTAGATCGATCTATCTAGATATATATAGATAGATCGATTTTTTTTTTTTTTTTTGAGACGGAGTCTCCATCTGTCGCCCAGGCTCACTGCAAGCTCCGCCTCCCGGGTTCATGCCATTCTCCTGCCTCAGCCTCCCGAGTAGCTGGGACTACAGGTGCCTGCCACCACCCAGCTAATTTTTTGTATTTTTAGTGTAGACGGGGTTTCACTGTGTTAGCCAGGATGGTCTCGATCTTCTGACCTCGTGATCCACCCGCCTCAGCCTCCCAAAGTGCTGGGATTACAGACGTGAGCCACCGCGCCTGGCCAAATATAAACATAGTTTAAGACATTAGATATGTTGTTCCATCTTTGTTTTTGCCTCTATGGCATACTGCTGGTCCTCTATTTGATACCACATTCTTGGTCTGAAACCCAACCTCTAATCGCAGTGTTTACCCTATATAAAGTGATCAGCTACGGTAAGATCACATTCCAGTTTCTTTCTAGGTATAATGTGAGGGGAAAGATGGACTGCCTATACAATTTGCCTCTTGGTTTAAGTATGCAGGCTTCCACAGTTTAGAAAGCATTTTTCAATCATTTTGTCAGACTAAGAAACTTGAGGCCCCAAAAGAGCTATCACCTTGTTCACAGCTATACAGGTATAACTGGCAACTCACATGTAGAAGAATGAAACTGGATCCTCATCTCTTACCTTATACAAAAATCAACTCGAGGCCTGGTGCAGCAGCTCATGCCTGAAATCCCAGCACTTTGGGAGGCTGAGGTGGGTGGATCATCTGAGGTCAGGAGTTTGAGACCAGCCTGGCCAACATGGGTGAAACCCCATCTCTACTAAAAATACAAAAATTAGCCAGAGGTGTGGTGGTGCATGCCTGCAATCCCAGCTACTTGGGAGGCTTGAAGCAGGAGAATCACTTGAGCCCGGGAGGCAGAAGTTGCACTGAGCTGAGATGGAGTACTCTGAGGCTGGGCGACAAAGGGAGACTCCGTCTCAAAAAAAAAAAAAAATCAACTCCAGATGGTTCAAAGACTTAAGTCTAAAACCTGAAACCATAAAAATTCTAGAATATCAGAAAAACCCTTCTAGACATTGGCTTAAGCAAAGACTTCATGACCCAAGAACCCAAAAGTAAATGCAACAAAAACAAAGATAAATAGATGGGACTTAATTAAAAAGCTTCTGCACAGCAAAAGAAACAGTCAGCAGAGTAAAAAGACAACCCATGGAGTGGGAGAAAATCTTTGCAACCTATACACCCAACAAAAGACTAACATCCAGGATCTACAAGGAACTGAAACAAATCAGCAAGAAAAAAACAGTCCCATCAAAAAGTGCTCTAAGGACATGAATAGACAATTCTCAAAAGAAGATATACAAATGGCCAACAAACATATTAAAAAATGCTCAACATCACCAACGATCACGGAAATGCAAATCAAACCCACAATGTGGTAACACCTTACTCCTGTAAGAATGGCCATAATCAAAAAATCAAAAAATAAAAGATGTTGGCGTGGATGTGGTGATCAGGAACACTTTACACTGCTGGTGGGAATGTAAACTAGTACAACCACTATGGAAAACAGTGTGGAGATTCCTTAAAGAACTAAAAGTAGCACTACCATTTGATCCAGCAGTCCCACTACTGGATATCTACCCAGAGGAAAAGAAATCATTATATGAAAAAGATACTTGTAAACGCACGTTTATAGCAGCACAATTTGCAACTGCAAAACTAATGGAACCAGCCCGAATGCCCATCAATGAGTGGATAAATAAATTGAATTGTGGTATACCTGAGGTCAGGAGTTCAAGACTAGCCTGGCCAATATGGTGAAGCCCCATCTCTACTAAAAATACAAAAACTAGCTGGGCGTGGTGGCGTGTGCCTGTAATCCCAGCTACATGGGAGGCTGAGGCAGGAGGACGGCTTGAACTAGGGAGGCAGAGGTTGCAGTGAGCTGAGATTATGCCACTGCACTCCAGCCTGGGAGACAACGGGAGACTCCATCTCAAAAAAAAAAAAAAAAAGAAAGAAATTGTGGTATATATACATCCAGGGAATACTACTCAGCCATAAGAAGGAACGAAATAATGGCATTTGCAGCAACTGGAATACCATTATTCTAAGTGAACTCACTCAGGAATGGAAAACCAAACATCATACGTTCTCACTCGTACATGGGAGCTAAGCTATGAGAATGCAAAGGCGTAAGAATGATACAACGGACTCTGGGGACTCAGGGAAAAGGTGGGGGGGCGGTGAGGGATAAAAGACTACACATTGGGTACGGTGTACACCGCTCAGATGACAGGTGCACCAAAATCTTAGAAATCACCACTAAAGAACTTATTCACGTAACCAACCACCACCTGTTCCCTAAAAACCTCCTGAAATAACAAATACCAAAAGTGCAAAAATACCCATTTCACAGCATGAGTTCCAGAGCTGCTCCAGTTTAGTCAACCAGTGTAAGTATCATGCATCCTTGAAGATTATCTATGTAGACCAAAACGGAGCCTGGTCTTGCCTAGCATAAAGTCTAGGATGACTAATACCAGTGTTGATCATAATCCTGAAGGACACAATCCCAAACACCATAACCCCAAATGTTGAAGTCCCAAAAGATCAAAATCCTTAAAATCACAACCTGGACAAAATAAAATTTCAAATTCTGGGGAAAGGATTAGTATGTTTTTCGTTGTAAACAAGACAGTTGCATCATGTTATACAGAAGTATTACCTTGTTATTGTCTTAAGTATGGTTTAGACACATAAGGGTGCCAAGTTGCCAATGAGCAGAATTGTGGACTTAATTTTAGGTGTCAATTTTACTGGATTAAGGAGTATTTAGAAACCTGGTAAAGCATTATCTGGGTGTGTCTGTGAGGTTGTTTCCGGGGATTAGTTTGTAAGTCTGAGTGGACTGAGTGGGGAAGATCTGCCTTCAATGTTGGTGGGTACCATCCAACAGGCGGGGGCCCAGAGAGAACAAATACAGAAGGCAAATTGGTCTCTAAGAGGTAGGATAGATTTTTCTTCTTTTTTAAGATTGAGTTTTGCTCTTGTTGCC
Source organism: Homo sapiens (assembly GCF_000001405.40). Lineage (NCBI taxonomy): Eukaryota > Metazoa > Chordata > Mammalia > Primates > Hominidae > Homo > Homo sapiens. Next base: position 35,054,962 of record NC_000009.12, read on the forward strand.
CAGGCTGGAGTGCAATGGCTCCATCTCAGCTCACGACAACCTCCGCCTCCCGGGTTCAAGCTATTCTCTGCCTCAGCCTCCCAAGTAGCTGGGAGTACAGGCAAGCGCCACCACGCCTGGCTAATTTTGTATTTGTAGTAGAGATGGGGTTTCTCCATTTTGGTCAGGCTGGTCTTGAGCTCCCGACCTCAGGTGATCTGCCCGCCTCAGCATCCCAAAGTGCTGGGATTACAGGCATGAGCCACCATGCCCAGCCTAGGACAGATTTTTCTTCTGGTGCCTTGGACATTAAAAATTTGACTCCATGACCGCAATGTTGACTCTGTGTGTAAGCATTATATGTGTGCATAAAAATGTTGAAAGTTCCTCAATAAACGAAGAGACATCTGTTTTTTGTACACGTGCATTTGTGAAGGATAAAATTTCTCAAGACCTCGTCTCTTTGGGAGACAATGCAGTGGTAACGCAACAGTTTTTGAACCATCTCATCAAGACTTAGGTTTTCTGTCACAGTATTACAGATGACCAGTTATATAAAGCTAGGTGCCCACAATTACCAAGCATAGTGACAAAGCATTTATACATTTCACTTTTTGACCTATTTCTTTATGAATGTTTCATCTGCTCATCACCGTTATATCCGTGCAACTGTCATTGGTATACCTGAGTGTTTATCTTGCAAAAATGTTACTATTCCCTATTTTATCGTGTAGTGGCCTATGAAACGTTCTGTTGTGTTGTTTCTCAAATAAATACGCTTTTAAAAATGTAAGTAAATTTTCGAAGAATGTTTAGTATTTCTTCCAGAATTGTATTTTGGGATTTTGACCTTTTGGGATTGTGATTTTCAGAATTTTAGACTTTAGGGATTTTGATCTTTGGAGATTACAGTATTTTATTCAAAATTACGGTGTTCAGGACTGTCTTTTGAGATTATGTCCCAAAGCCAATCAACATATATTTAATTTAGTAATTTATTTTCTCTGCACTACTCTCTCTCTGGGTAAGGCATCACTGTACTGACCCTAGAAGCACTAAGTGATTACTGTTGAAGAGGATAGTCTATTTTCTGTTTGGAAAAAAAAAAAATTCAATACTAAAATTTTATATTAACAAAAAGTTTTTTTTTTTTAATCAAAGTACATAAAATAAAGGTGGACACAACTGTAAGTGATCACCAACCAGGGGATGTTTGGGATTTTTAGATGCATTAAAAGAGAGTATAGAGAATATCCACCTGCAAGTAAGATTGTATTCTTTTGCAACCCTGCGATTTTCAAATGGCACCCCAACACAGTCTTTGGTCAGGATAAGGGATCCTGCAGGCCTAGCCTTACCGTCCACATCAAATATAGGTGGAGGGATGCCATATTCTCCACATTTGGAGCTCTGTCAGGCTGCTCCCTTTCCACCAGTCCTATCCAGTGATACTGCAGACAAAGGGTGAGGCAACAGGAGACATCATACCGATGTTGATCAGGAGAGGAAGAAGGTGCAATCTTACTTCCAGGATTTCACATTTGGAAGAATGCCTTGGGAGTGGTGGGTAGCCCAAGGCTGTTCCCAGGAAAAGAAGCAGGCACAGGGCCCAGGACTCAGGCTCCATTTTGACCCAACGTTTATTGTCCTTTTACAACATGTCATTTTTTGGTTTAGAAACTGCTTGTGATTAGTTTTCCAACATTAACTCAAAAGCATGTAAAATAAATCAACCTACTCTCTATATAAACATCCAGCAACTGTGGCCCCTACCCACCTACCCAGGTTGGATAGGGGGAAGGGAGGGCTCGGGCAGCATTGAGTCAAGTGCAGATGCTTTACTGTGGCAGGTGGCAGTAGTGCCTTGGTTCACACCCCACACAGGTCCCCTGCACTGCCCCAAACTACAACAGAAATGGCATAGGCCCAAGGCCCAATTCCCTGTTGGTAATTCACTCTCCGCCTACCAAATGAAAATCGCTTTTATTTTATCGCTTTTGTTTTGTATTTTTGCAACAGAAACCCCCTGTCCAGAGTCAGACTGTAGCTGAACTGTTCAGACTGGAGAATGGAGCAGGCTGTGGGCGCACCCCTGGTCCCTCTCCTGGGCAAGCGCCCCCACCCCCAGGGAACAAGGTCCAGGCAGGCCAGCTCACTGCACGCTGGCCACCACCACTTAGCCATACAGGTCATCATCATTGTCTTCTGTGTATACACTGCCACCTGTGCCGCCTCCACTGCCCTGACTGGGGCCAGCTCCACCCTGGTTCCCTGAAGGGAATCTGTGTACAAGAGCAAAGCCAAAAAAGAGGGTTAGGACAGGGCCTGTGTAAGATTTCCACAACTACCCCTCTAGCTTCCTTAGGACTCCCATCCCTTTTGGTGTAGGTCCCCAAAGTAACTTAAGCACTGTCTAATGCTCCCAACCAACTTACCTGAAGCTGCCAAAGCCCCGACTCTGCTGAAGGGTCTGGGCAAACATCTCATACTTCCGAATGTCATTGTCACTGACAGAACGGCGCGCAAAGCGCATGGCTTCTTCAAAGTGATCTCGACGGATCTCAGGCACTGGATCATCCTCTTCTACCTCCTATAGTTGGTAAACACAGATCACTAGGGCTAGTTAAAGCCCAGCCTGGATTTCATCCCAGGCCTCCCATTACTGCAGTTTATTGGTCTCCTTGCCCTTCCAATCCAACCTGAGGTAAGATGCTAGGCCATGCTTCCTAAAATTGAGTCACTGCTCTGCTTAAAAACTTGTCAATGCACTCTGGAAAAGGGAAAACTGTAGGGACAGAAATCACATCAGTGATGGGGCTTAAGGAGGGGAGATGTTGACTGAAGTGGCTAAGGAAACTTTTTGAGATAGTAGAAATTTTAAGTCTCAACTGTGGTAGTAGTTATAGAACTTACACACACTTGTCATAAAGCATGGAAATGGTATATAGAAAGAGTGAATTTTATTGTATTTATATCATACCTTAATAAACCTTAATACTTTAAAAGGAAATGCCAATGGCTTTCAGTGCTTACCACATTTGGATTACATCCTACCTAGCGGTCTCACTTCCAGTGACATATATACTCTTAAATCTACCCAGGGTTTCCCAATGATTGCAATCCTACTACTAGAGCACATTATTTGGGCTGCTTATTCCCTTTATTCAAATTCTACTCTCTTCACAGCCCAGCTCAAAACCTATCTCTTCCATTGAGAGGCCAATTTCTGTGACTTATGTGACTACCTCCTAGGATTAGTTCATCAGTAGTTGTTAAGCTTTTATGGGAGAGAGAAGGGATGTCACAGACCCTTCAAAAGGGAAAGAAAGCCATTTATTTGCTCATTAAGTCCCATGTTTGGAACTTAATGAATTAATTAAGGGTAACACAAGACATAGTGGAAAACAAGTGAGATGACAGAGATCTTACCTTTATGGAACTTACAAACACATGAATTTGCCTTTTCATTTTGGGAGGTCTGTGGACCCTATCCCTTCCCCAACCATCAGGGATAAGTATATGAGTCTCATCTCAGCTCAAAACCTTGCTCTGTGGTTCACGCCTGTAATCCCAGCACTTTGGGAGGCCGAGGTGGGCACATCACAAGGTCAGGAGATCGAGACCATCCTGGCTAACGTGGTGAAACCACGTTTCTACTAAAAAAAAAATACAAAAAACTAGCCGGACATGGTGGCATGTGCCTGTAGTCCCAGCTACTCGGGAGGCTGAGGCAGGAGAATCGCTTGAACCTGGGAGGCAGAAGTTGCAGTGAGCCAAGATCGTGCCACTGCACTCCAGTCTGGGCAACAGAGTGAGACTTCGTCTCAAAAAAAAAACAAAAAACAAAAAACAAAAAAAACCTTGCTGTGTTTGCTGCACTCTCATACTTTGATTTCCCTCATGGAGCTTGGTTCAGACTGAGAATGGAGCCTGACCATCTCTTCTCGGCCTTATTCCAAATTGAATGGATTCACCTCAGCATTCTTTATCTTTGATGCCCTATTAAAATTCTTCTCAGTTAGATGATCTTTCCAACAGCTTCTACTCTCAACTCCAGGGCATGGTGGTGGCTGCTGCCTGGCTCTCCATGATTGGCACATCTGGGGAAAGGATGCAGACTCACCATGGCTGATGGGTTTGTCTGCCTCTCTCGTTCTCGCCTAATCTCACTCTCGATGGATTCACGGATGGCCAGCTTGCAAGCACGCTGGCAAATCTCTGTCAGGTCAGCTCCAGAGAAGCCATTAGTCATTTTAGCCAGGAACTCCAAGTCCACATCCTAAAAGCAGCAGCAGAGGTACCTTAGCATTTAGCCTCTCCTCTCGAGATACGCAGATCTTTGGGCTACCCGAGCACTCCCAACTACAGTTTGCCCCTTCTTTGGCCACCCCATTTTATTCCTGATTCTAGATTATCTTGATATCCTCAAAAATTCTACCTTCCCTTTAGACCAACCCTAACCCCAGTGGAATCTTGTCCAGAAACTAAAGAGCACTCCGTACCAGCCTGAGGACTCATGCAAGTCTCCCACAGCCCATGATCTTGCACCTGCCTTGGCAACTGGGGACTTGCGCAGGTTAGCCTTGAGGATGGCAACACGGGACTTCTCATCAGGAAGTGGGATGTAGATGAGCTGATCAAGACGGCCAGGTCTGAGGATGGCAGGATCAATGATGTCAGGCCGGTTGGTAGCGCCAATGATGAACACATTTTTTTTTGTGGACATGCCATCCATTTCTGTCAGGATCTGGTTGATGACTCGGTCAGCAGCCCCACCACCATCTCCAATGTTACCTCCACGAGCCTTGGCAATCGAATCCAGCTCATCAAAGAATAGCACACAGGGGGCAGCTTGGCGGGCCTGTAGGAGGAATGGATTGATTCAAGCACTAACAAAACTAGATGTCTCTAGGCAAACGTGGTGGCTCACACCTGTATTCCCAGCACTTTGGGAGGCCAAGGTGGGAGGATCACTTGAGGCCAGAAATCCGAAACCAGCATGGGCAACATACTGAGACTTTGTCTCTACAAAAAATAAAAAATTAGCCAGATGTGGTGACGCATGCCTATAGTCCCAGCTACTCAGGAGGCTGAAGTAGGAGAATTGCTTAAGCCCAGGTTTCAAGGTTACAGTGAGCCATGACTGTACCACTGCCCTCCAACCTGGGCAACAGAGCCAGACCCTGTCTCAAGAGAGAGAGAGAGAAAAAAAAAATAACACTAGGTCTCTCAGACCTCAGAAAGAAAATCAAGTGACTTACTGTGCAGTTGAGCAGCCAGCACTAAGAATATTTCAACCCTCTTAAAGAAAAACAGCCTCTATTCCTTGCCCTCAGGCAAATCAATACATAGTTCAGCCTATTGTAGCTCACCTTGTCAAAGATTTCTCTGACATTGGCCTCAGACTCCCCAAACCACATGGTGAGCAGCTCAGGACCCTTGATGGAGATGAAGTTGGCCTGGCATTCATTAGCAATGGCTTTGGCCAACAAAGTTTTCCCACAGCCAGGAGGTCCATAGAACAGAACTCCCTTGGAAGGTGTCATGCCAAACTTCAGGAATTTGTCTGGGTGCTCCACAGGATACTAGGAGGAAAAGGAAAGAGGGTTCAAGGCTACCTCCACATTTTGAAAGAAACCTAACTAAACAGAAGCATCCCCTCCATTATTTCATGGTGTACCCAATGGTATCAGATCCAGGTTCTCTAGAAGAAGACTCCTTAGTGCCTCAAACCTAAGAACAGTAGGTTCCTAAGTCGTGCTCTCACAACTCTTGCAGCAAATGTGTTGACACCCTGAGATCACCCAGATCAATTACAATGTACTGAGACAGTGACTCACCCTGGACCAAGTTGCCCTACCTGGACCAGCTCCTGTAGCTCACGTTTGACATCCTCTAGGCCCCCGATGTCTTCCCAGGTTACCTGTGGCACCTCTACCACGGTTTCCCGCAGTGCTGATGGGTTACTCTGGCTCAAGGCCCACTAGAAAAGGAGGGAAAACTGGGGATGAGACTTATCAAGGGAGGGGTCAAAGCACGTATGTGTGTACCTGAGGCACGGGTGTGGTCCTTACCCGGAAGTCATCCATAGTAACTGCTAGAGAGTTCATGACCTCGGCATCAATGGTCTCATCCTCTAGGTCAATGAGATCCATCTTCTTGCGGATGGCTTGCAGAGCAGCCTCTGAGCACAGGGCTGCTAAGTCAGCACCCACATGCCCGTGAGTCTCATTGGCTACCTGCAGAGAAAGATCTACTTACTATGCTGCCTCAAAGACCCAGCTGCTGCAGGAGGCTCAGAGACAATAGAATCCTTCCCCTGACTGCTATCCCTGGGTCCTCTCATTTCCTTGAATATATACTATCAATACCTTTATGGGCTGGGTTTTAAGTACTTAATTCTGGACTTGGGACCTAGAAATAAGGCTGCTCCAACAATTCTGATTTACTCTAAATGCAGCGTCAACTATGAAAAATGCCAACTCCCATTTCCTGGATTCAATCTCAGATTACTTCCTTTCCCCTGTCCAGAAATCAAAACCCATCTCCTCACATCTTAACCTTATGTCTCTAGCCAGTTCCCAGCAACTGCCTAGAGACACTGTAACGCCTGGTCAGCCATCATCATCACTTCACCTGTTCCAGGTCCACATCATCTGCCAGCTTCATGTTCTTGGTATGGATCTGAAGAATCTCTAAGCGTCCTGTAGCATCAGGAATTCCAATATCTACCTCCCTGTCAAAGCGACCTGTGGGACAGTACACAAACATAAACAGGGCTCATCTCTAGTCCAGAGGTAAGAGACAGGCCTAGGGTGACCAACCATCTCAGCCAGCACAGGATTGTCCTAATGCCAGCACTAAAAAAGTCTCAAGCTCTGGGAAACCTTTCAGTCTCAGGAAAACCAGGGTGGTTGGTCACTCTAGACAGGACGTAGGGTAAAGGAAAAAGACCCCTGGACCCAATCACTGTGAAGGGCTTCAAGAGGATTAGGTGACTTAGATGAAGGAGAGAAGTAGGACCTAAGCAAGGACGGGGTCAAAAGTATCTGGAGTCCTTACCAAATCGCCGTAGAGCTGGGTCAATGCTGTTGGGTCTGTTGGTTGCTGCCATAACAATCACATGTGCCCTCTGCTTTAGGCCATCCATGAGGGTCAACAACTGTGATACAATGCGCCGCTCCACCTCGCCATGAGTCTGCCAGAACAGGATGTCTGGTCAGAAGTGAAGTCAGGGCCTTTCAACCCCCCTCTATCCCCTCAGGTAAGCTCCTACTTTCTCTCTTTTGGGAGCGATGGCATCTAGCTCATCAATGAAGATGATGGCAGGAGCATTCTTCTCAGCCTCCTCAAAGGCTTTACGAAGGTTGCTCTCAGACTCACCAGCCAATTTGCTCATGATCTCAGGACCTGAAAGGATACAGAATGGAGACAATAACAAAATGATAGTCTTTCCCAATTCCTCCCAAAAATCAGTTATCTTGCTTGTTTGGCCCAGAGACAGGTCCTGGGTGAGAAGGTGGTAACCTCTGCCTACTTCTCACATCCTCTACCAGCCATTATCCCAGGACAGCCACCAGGCAAGGCTGGAGAGAAGCCCAGGGACTCACTATACTCTTCTCACAGTTGAACTGTAAAGGTGACAGCAAATGCTCTAGGACCTCTGGCTAGAGCAAGAGAGATGGCACACCAGATGGCACACCACTAAACAGCATTCTCCAAGAGCCAGTGATCAAAGTTCATTTGCCCCAAACCCTCTCAAATCACTAACCATTCACCCTTTGATTTCTCATTCTAGCTTGCTCCCGCTCTGCAGTCTGTCCACAATCTTTCTCAAAGGGGGCAGGACAGGGAGCACCAATGTAAAATATCTTCCCTTTATTGCTCTTCTGTCTGTAACATACCCCAGCATAAGAAATATGCTATAAACATGAAGGAGGGCATGGGTGCAAAAAGGATGTGTTCATAAGTGCTCCAGCTCATAAGCCCAGTTCAAAATTGGGTCTAGCTAGACATAAGATGAACCAAATATCTCACCATTGATCAAGAAGAAGAAGGCTCCAGTCTCATTTGCTACAGCTCGAGCAATCAGGGTCTTTCCTGTTCCAGGAGGTCCGTAAAGCAGGATTCCTCTAGGAGGCTGTGGACCAATGCAGAGTGTGATTAGGTTCCCACCTTCTCCCAAACCCTAAAATGGCTTGACTAGCGCTCCAGAGAGGGTGAGAATCAGGCTTCAACCCTGACAATATTAAGAATAAGCCCTCCGCAGTAAATGCTAAGAAGACAATTACTTTAGGCCACACTCATTTCTATTACTAGCAGGGAAAATACTGCTAGAAAGTGGGCAACATTTATGATTGCAACTTGCATAGGAGACTAAGGGCAGAGAAACTGTAGTCCAAATGCGTTTGAAGATACATGACTAGGGAAAGGCAAGAGGCCATTACACTAAGGGCTCAATTTTAGACAGACCAAGGGCCAAAGACTAGCTAAGCCATTTAAGAGAGCAGGGTCTATTTTCTTCATTGCCAGAGGATCACTCACTCCAGTAATCATGCCCTCCAGAATTTATCACACTGGAATGCTGTTCCTTACAATCATCATTTTTCTTCTTCAACACTACCCTTTCTATGGCCTCATCCACAAGCAGAACATGTAAACTGTCCACATAGAAAATGAAATTATTTGTGTGCCACCCACTAGGAAAATGAGTAACTTCATCTTCAGTGTGTTCCATGGAAACACTTTCCCACTAGGAAAAGATTGAGAAGCTACACTCTAGACCAATAGTTCTCAAATGTTTTAGACTCAGAACCCTTTAACACTCTGAAAATTTCCTTAACTTCCTTACTTCTACTGGGTGACATTGCTCTAGACAGGCTGGCAAACTATGGTGAGATTTGTTTTTACAGGGTCCATTGATACAAGAATGGCTTTTATATTCTAAGAGTTGTAAAGAAAAACCCATATATATATGTGTGTGTGTTTTGTGCGCACACGCACACAACAGACAATTTGATTAGCCTACTCTGGTTTTAGACCATCAGCTCTAATGAATTTAGAGCCTTAGGTAAACTAAAGGATACGTTATTGCCCCTCTAATCCAAGGCAATAATGAAAGCCATGCATGAAAACAGTCCCAGGATTAGACATTGGGACAGGATTAGACATTGGCACCACTTTAGACTTGATTCCAGAGCCCAGGATGCTCACCTTCACACCAATTGCCTTAAAGAGGGCAGGATGTCTCAGGGGCAGTTCCACCATCTCCTTTATCTGAGCTAGCTGCTTCCTGCAGCCACCAATGTCATCATACCCTACTTCATTCAAGGACTCTTCCTCATCCTGAATATGGAGGAGATAAAGAAAGGAGAAGGCAAGAATATTATATCAGCAAAAGCTGAGTTTCTCTAAATCATTCCACTACCTAGTGTGCAAAAACCTACCGTATAAGAAGATTCTCAACCCGGCATGGTGGCTCACATCTGTAATCCCAGCACTTTGGGAGGCAGAGGTGGGAGGAATGCTTGAGTCCAGGAGTTCCTGGGCAATACAGCAAGACTCCATCTCATTAAAAATTAAATTAAATTTAAAAAAGATTCTCCTCTAAAGGGATCCGGCCTCAAAGAACAACTACAAAAATCCCAAGGCAAAGATTTCTAGCACAGTCCTTGCCTCTCACATTACTCGTAGTCTTACTGAGAAGGGGTCTCTAAAATCTGAAGCTGGAAACCCTGGGAATGGGCAGAGGCCTGAAGCCACCATCAGCTTTACTTCAAAAATGATTTCAATCACTTATATATTTTGGGTTCAGTCTAGTTTTTTGAAATTCCTGGCATTAGGTAAATCCAAGAAACAATTAGGCCCAGAAATGAATAGCTGGCAGGTTTCTCATCCCTGAAAGATGGTTAGTTCTCCAAAGAACACCCAGTCTTTTTCTTTTTTGAGACAGAGTCTCACTCTGTCACCCAGGCTGGAGTGCAGTGGCACAATCTCAGCTCACTGCAACCTCCGACTCCTGGGTTCAACCGATTCTCCTGCCTCAGCCTCCTGAGTAGCTGGGATTACAGATGTGTACCACCATGCCTGGCTAATTTTTGTATTTTTAGTAGAGATGGGATTTCACCATGTTGCCCAGGCTGGTCTTGAACACCTGACCTCAAGTGATCTGCCCATCTCAGTCTCCCAAAGTACTGGGATTACAGGTGTCAGCCACCGCAGCCGGCCGAGCACCCAGTCCTGACAGTTACCACATGATGCCACACTGAGTAATCATAAAATCGGATACTGGAATCAGGGAGAAAACTCACCTCTCGTTTGATAGGCTCCCCTTCGCAGTGGATCACTGTGTCTGGAGCAACAATGCAATAAGGGCTAGGATCTGTTTCCACCACTTTGAACTCCACAGCACGCATCCCACCACGGACAAGAAAAATGTCTCCTGCGAGAGCAAACAGTACAAGCACAGTTAGAGGTGTCAACTACAAGACAAAGTGAGAACTCATCAGACCCTGGGGTCAAAATGCCAAGCTCATTAGATAGTGCCCTTCATTAGATATTGCCCTACCTCTCCCCAACTCCACCCCACCTGTCTTAATAAGCAGCAGGCAAGATGAGAAAGGTAAACTGTGAAGAGTCCCTCTGACAAGAGGTCAGTGAACAAAACCTGACATGTCAGAAGCCCATCAAGTTCTGACTTCTGCCATATAGGTAGCCCAAGTTTTCACTACAACCACCAATGGTAGAACTGTGCACTCTGGACCCTGACCCAGCCAAAATGGACCACTTTCTCCTTCAGAGATCCATAAAGATAGCTTACTCTCCTGGAACAGAGAAGGGGAGAGATGGAGCAAAGGAAGGATGGAGGAAAAAAAGAGGGTAAGACATATGAATATGTGTGCAGGGTTTGCATGTGTGTGTATACAAATATATGAAAATGAGTCTAGCGGCCGGGCACAGTGGCTCACCTGAGGTCAAGAGTTCGAGACGAGCCTGACCAACATGGTGAAACCCCGTCTCTACTAAAAACACAAAAATTAGCCGGGCGTGGTGGCAGACGCCTGTAATCCCAGCTACTTGGGAGGCTGAGGCAGGAGAATTGCTTGAACCCAGGAGGCGGAGGTTGCAGTGAGCCGAGATTGCACCACTGCGCTCCAGCCTGGGGGACAGCGCGACACTCTGTCTCAAAAAAAAAAGAAAAGAAAATGAGACTAGGCTTGATGGCTCATGCCTGTAATCCCAGCACTTTGGGAGGCCATGGCAGATGGATCACTTGAGCCCAGCAGTTTGAGACCAGCCTGGGCATCATAGTGAGACCCTGTCTCTTTTTTTTTTTTTTTGAGACAGAGTCTTGCTCTGTCACCCAGGCTGCAGTACTGTGGCCCAATCTTGGCTCACTGCAACCTCCACCTCTTGGGTTCAAGCAATTCTCATGCCTCAGCCTCCCAGGTAGCTGGGATTACAGGTGCCCACGATGGGGTTTCGCCATGTTGGCCAGGCTGGTCTCAAACTCCTGGCCTCAAGTGATCCACCCGCCTCAGCCTCCCAAATTGCTGGGATTATAGGTGTGAGCCACGGTGCCCAGCTGACCCCATCTCTTAAAAAATGAATAAATAAATACAGGGGAAAAGCATAAAAGATTTAAAAAAAAAAAAAGAAAAAGAAAATGAGATAAAGATGTTCCAAGGTTTATTCCCTACAGTCAATAATCCTTAAGCTCAGAATTAGCTCTCACCTTTCCGGATGGGTCGATACGCTTCCAGGAAGTACGGCTTAAGGTATACCTCGAAGAGATTACCAGTAATGCCTTCCACTGTGTCATCAATGGGCAGCACATGGATACGTTTGCCGTACTTCACATCAGGGCATGGCTGGATGCTGAGGATGACAAGCAGACTCCATATTACCAACCACACTTCGGGCCCAAGCACTGGGTGTCCAAAAGGGCCTGGCACAGATAGCTGATAGTAAGTGAAAAAGAAAAGGCAGGATGGCTTTAGGCGAAGAGAGGAAGGAGAACAGGGTGGAAGTGAGGGCGAAGGAACAGCCCCACTCACTCCTAATCAGTGAGCCAAAATCAAGAGCCACACATTTAGAAACCCCACAAAGACATGCAGGGTCTTCAGGGAGATATCCAAGGATGATCCCCTTCTAGCTAATACTGGTGACCCAATATTACAAGGGAAGGTCTTAAGCTAACAATTGTCAGGGTCAGTGAAACAGAAGTGAAAAAAACAAAATTATCTCAGCCAGGTGGTCAGAACACCTTGAGGAAGTGACTAAGCACTCCCAAGAAGAAAGCTACATGAAACTTAGACTCCATTCAAAAGAATCAAAAGCCTGAGATGATCCTGGCCAGGTGATGGTTGGTTGGGTAGGAGTGGCTAGAGATGACTCCAAGATGGGGTAACCTCTTGCCTAAAATTATGCAAGAACAAGCAAAATCACTCACATTGAGAGCTATCCCAGGTCTGGCTCCAACTATTCCTCTCTCCCGGGTTAACTTAGGGGCTTAAAAGACCTGCTAGCAGCTCACCTTCCATGCCCATACCCCCACCTCATTCCAACCCCAACACAAGCCATCAATTAGACATACTAGTGAGAGTAGTGAGGAGATTATTTGGCATATACATACACACCCTCGAGTGGTATCCTAAGCCAGGATATAAGTATGATAAATTACACCTCTAGTAGGAAAAAATAAAGCCATCAAGAAAGTTACAGGAACGCCAATTTGTCTCAAGGGACCTGCAGAAATGGATTTTGAAGTCCCAGGGAGGCAGAACCAAAACCTAAAGACAACCCTGAAGCATAAGTCTTCCCATGACCAGGAGGCTTCCTGCATCGACAGGTGCCAAGAACTTGGTCCTGCCTGTAATACATGGGTCCTGCCTGTAATGCAGGCTATCTCTGGCCTCCCATCCCTGTGAAGCCAAAAACCCCACACACACCTGATGACATCCCCTAGGCGTACACGAAGGTTATTCCGAACAACTCTATTCATCCGAATCTTCTCATCAGAACAAGTATCATCAGAAAGGACGATGCAAACAGCTTCTCGTCTCTTCTTTCCTTTCAGCAACACTGTGTCACCTCGGAACAACTGCAATTCATCCATCTTGGGCTGAGGAAAGAAAGTTAAGGCCTTTGGGTCATTGGGCTGACGGGGAGTAAGCAGCAGCCCTGGAGATTGGGATTCCCAGTAAACCCCACTCTATCTGCAGTCACTGCAAGAAAAATGAGAAAAGAAACCTGGGAAAATCCCTCAAGTAAGTGCAGTAAGGAAAGACTAGTCTGTGGCCACAGCTTACCTGGGACAAGGACACCACACTGTTGTCCTCATTGATGGCTTCATCAACAATTAACCGATTGGGACGGTTCTTCTGTTTGAGAATGGCTGTTGATAGGTCATCACCTTTTGAACTAGAAGGAGGAAATGGAGTCAGTAGATACTCCTGCCCCAAGCGCCTCGCCAGTCTCTAAAACTCATACTTAGGAAAGAAACAGTGAATAGATGAAGCTGTCCCTAGACCAGAAAGCTCAGATGAAGGAAAGGCAGCCAAGGTCACGAGGAGCAGTATCTACCATACATATTACAATACCCATTCCAGCAGCTCCTGGTATTTTGAGCGTCAGTGTCCCAGCTATAAGGCCCCAAGTGAGTGATCCTGCCCCAGGGTCAGAAAATAATGGCCTAAGAAGAAGACATAATAGAAATGGAGGCTGAATAGTTGTTAGAGAAATAAAAATAGTCTTAGACTTACAGAAGAGTGGTTAAGAGCAGGAACTCTATAGTCAGACCCATTGGGTCTGAATTCCAATTATGCCACTGCTTAATTGTGATCTTGGGCAAGTTACCTAACCTCTGAACTTTGATGTCCTCCTCTATAAAAGAAGGAATATAATACTTATCTCAGAGGCTTATTGTCTTAAGGGAGATAATGAATGTAAAATGCTTAACATAATACCTGGCACATGGTATTAATGGTCACCATGATTAACAGTATAGAGTAAAGCATAAGCTAACTTTCCAGGGAATTAAGTAAGCCAGACAACCTCCCTTGAGGCTCAGGGAGGCCTTAAGTTCTACCAAGCAAGCCTGGGGACAACGAAGCAGAATCATTGGTGCTACCCTCCTTATAGGCTAAACCTACTGATGCCAGGGCATTCCATAGTACCAAAGGAATGCCAAGCATAAAGACCATCATATTTGGAAAAAACACTAACAGACATCAAACCGCCAGAAAGAGGCTCAAGGTCAAAAGGAACTTCACAGTAATATCTGCAAAAGTACACAATTCCATAAAGTTGGCTCAAAAAATCAAAACCAAGAAATGCTGAGACATGGGGCAAATCCAAATCCCTCTCACCCAAATCAAAGTCGACTGGGTCTACACTCAGTGTTATTTCCTAGAAGCTAGGATCATTCACCAGACAGTGACACCAACTTATTACCTAGCCCGTTTCCAGCTGTCACTTACTAGACTCAGCAAGCTCCCTCTCCCTTTTTTTTTTTTTTTTTTTTTTTTTGAGATGGAGTTTCGCTTTTGTTGTCCAGGCTGGAATGCAATGCTGCGATCTCAGCTAACTGCAACCTCCACCTCCCGGGTTCAAGTGATTCTCCTGCCTCAGCCTCCCGAGTAGCTGGGATTACAGGCATGCGCCACCACACCTGGCTAATTTTGCATTTTTACTAGAGATGGGGTTTCACCATGGTGGTCAGGCTGGTCTCGAACTCCTGACCTCAGGTGATCTGCCCACCTCGGCCTCCCAAAGTACTGGGATTACAGGCGTGAGCCACAGCACCCAGCGCTCTCTCTTTTTTAAGAGCGGCCTCGTGTTAGTAAGGCTCAGGAAAACATAAGCATTAACCAAAGTAGGAAGGCCAGACAATGAAGGAAGCAAAGAAAATAAATTTTTAAAACGAATTTCTTCATTCAACAAATTCATGAGTCTCTATTATGTACCAGGCATTGTTCTAAGGGCTGGGGATACTGAAGTCAACAAAACAAGACAAAATAGTATTCCCATTGGAAATATCCTCACAATTTGCAAGAGACAAAGAAAAATGCTGTGCTCAGCTAGGAAGCCATGGGGTTCTTACATCTTTGGGTCCTGATACACCCAAGAGAAAAACAAACCCCATTCATCTAACAAAATGGTAGGCCTTCTGCTAACCCTCACACATAGGCTGCATTTTTAACCACTGCCTCTAAACTAGTTTCTAACGACAGTTTCCTCTGCTCAAATTTGCTTCCCCCATTCCAAAAGTCTGCCACTCCAGGCACAATGCTGCTGAGTAGGCAGACTCTTCCAATGCTTATCAACACACTAGAGGCCAAGCATGCTCAATGTGACAGTTGAGAGCAATGTAAACCCACGAGCTCTCCCACTCCTGTCCCATCAAAATACTCTTCCAGGGACTGCCCATCTTCTTGCTTGACTTATAGAACTGGGACTGGAGAAAAATAAAACGCCAGATGCCTCTAGTCACCATAGTTTTTTATTTTTTGAAACGGAGTCTCCCTCTGTTGCCCAGGCTGGAGTGCAGTGGCGCGATCTCCCTCACTGCAATCTCTGCCTCCCTGGGTTCAAGTGATTCTCCTGTCTCAGCCTCCAGAGTGGCTGGGACTACAGGTGTGCACCATCACCATGCCTGGCTACTTTTTGCATTTTAATAGAGATGGGGTTTCTCCATGTTGCCCGGGCTGGTCTCAAACTCCTGACCTCAAGTGATCTGCCTGCCTCGGCCTCCCAAAATGCTGGGATTACAGGCCTGAGCCACTGTGCCCGGTCAATAGTTTGTATTTTAATCTCAAAGCTGTATCCTAGGAAAACCTCCATTCTGCCTACCATCCCGGACTCTGGCTCTGGAGATGAGTGGTATGCCCTTTTCTTAAGGTAAAGCCTCTAATTCCCCATCTACCTACTGAGATCAGATGTGGTAATCTCTAAAAGACTGAATTTGGCCTGACCATGGGCCAACAGCAGTTCTGGACACTCTTTGGGGCAATCCTCCATTGTCTTCTGTATAAGTCAATCCCTTTCCAGAACTGCACAGGGGACTCCACGGGACTTGGAAGGGTTTCAGCTAAGAGTCATCAAGGTGACCAAGAGGTTAGAAACAGCTGATGATGCCAGGTTCCAAGAATTTTAGATTTTTACTTTTGAAAATAAGAGGCTGACTGCATATAAACCAAAAGAATACTTTCAGAATAAGTGACTCTTTTAAATAAGCAACTGAGTAATACTTTATCCGAATTCAGAAACTTGAGAAAAAGGAACACACCTCAAAAAACTAATCTCTTCAAGGAAGGAAGGTAATTTGCATAGAGTTTCCTTGGGCTGGCTGTGTTTTTTTTTTTTTTTTTTTTTTTTTTTTTGCCTCTAAAAGCTCTCTATTCTAAATTGAATGGGCTGAGGTAGCCAAGTTTTATCTAACGCTTTCCTAAGGATGGAGGTGGGGTCAGAAAGCCCCAGAGCCCGGGTAATTTCTCAATATAGCTGGTTGGGGAAAGGAGTGCGCGCACGTTTGTGTTTTTGAAGAGTTAGTGCAACTCTAAACTGCACACCACGAAACCTGGAAATCTGGAAAGGCGCACAAAACACGAACTGAGATTCCAACTTTAGCAAGAACCTAAAATGTTAAAGAAAAATTCCTTTCTCCCCACCCACGAGTCATAACATTAAGGAAAACTGGCTCAAACTTTCTAGTATGAACAACAGGCCTAAAGTAAGAAGACCAGAAGCGAAAGGTAGGGCTCGCCCTCTCCCTAACAGTCCTTCACGACTCAGGTCACACACAGAGGATGCCCACCTCCGGCCCCGCCGACCCGGCTCCAAAAAGGCGGCTGTGAGCTTCCCTGAGCTCGGCGGGCCTTCCCCGACCCCGGGCTCCGCCTCGGTGGCAGAGCTCCTGAGGCCTTCACATGGCGCAAAGTCCACGCCCACCGGGCCCGGCTGGGGCCTCGGGCTCGCGGGGCCTGCTCTCTCCGGGGACCAAAGGCTTTCGGCGGGTGGTAGGCCGGACGGCAGACTGGCGCCCCAAAGCCCCGGGGCGCCGCGCCGGCGGAGTGGGCCGGAAGACCTGGCCAGGCCCAGACGTCCGTTCTAAGGGAGCCAATCGGGCGGGCCGGGGCCTGCATGACACAGCACGATCCGGCCCAGGCTCCGACCCGGACCCAACGCAAGCCCCGCCTAGGGGGCGCGCGGGTGCGCAGCTGGCCCCAGCCGGGCCTGCCGGGTCCACGGCCCCTCACTCGCCCCCTAGCTTCCCTTCCCTCTTTCCTGGTCTCCACCTCTCTGACGCGCCCACGGCCAGGCCCCGCCGGGCCTACCCTGCGCGGCTGGTCCCGGTGCGCGCCGCCGCAGCAAGCGAACGGCGCGCGCACACTCACTCGGCTCCAGAAGCCATGGCGCGCGCCTCTCCCGGCCGGCGGCTGTGGCGGCCCGCGGGTAACGGCTACGAGCGGTGGCAAGCGACCGACTGGGCCGGGGCTCGGCTCTTCCAGGCGGTGGGCGAGCAGCGGCGACAAACCCGCAAGCGGCTTCCCTCTCGCTTCCTCCCACCGGCAGCGAGGCGTCGGGCGAACAACGCTGGCTCCTGATCCGCGAGGTGGCAGTGGCAGTGGCAGCGGCAGCGGCAGCGACGACTCAAACGACGGTCGCAGACGCTTCGCTGAGACTGAGCCGAGAAGAGCCGAATCATCGGAAGGGAAGCTGCTCCCACCTCAGCCAATCAGCGCCTGCCCTGCGGACTCTCGCCCGCCTCTCCGCGCCTCTCCCCAGCAACCCGCAGATCACAGCCAATCAGGAAATTCGCTTGCGGCCTGGCTCCCGCCTCAGTGATGCGACACGCCTAGTAACGCCACGTCAATTGGCCGCAACGCTACGCTTCCTCGACGGATTGGAATTCTCAGCCAATCAACGAAAGGAATAGGGCGAGATCGATTAGTGAAAGGAGACCCTTTAATCCCTTAGAGGCGGACTCTCCCACTTGGCTCCAGTTCATTGGCTCCGGAGTTTATCCTCCTGGAAGAACGTGGCACAATAGACTGAACCCTTGTATTAGTCTAGTCCTATTGTGGTAACCCATACACCCATCTTCTCCCAAAACCTGGAGATCTTCTAAGACGCCATCACCACCCTGACACTTCTTGCTCCTTCTCAACGCTGCCTCCAACCACCCCTACTCTGAACTTTCTGACTAGCACCCCACTCCTACCCCATTGTCACTGCACCCTCTGGTAACCCCAATCCCACAGCCTTTGCAGTTTCTCAGCGCTTGTGCCTTTCTTCCTCCCGTCATTAATATTAATACCTTATAATAAGGCACTCAAATCCAGAGAAGTCAAAGGGCAACCACAGAACACACAGCCAATTCAGTAGAACCCAAATTAGCAAGAAAACTGCATATGCTGGGACTTGAAAATCCTTGGGCCCCAAATAACAGGGGTCCCTGTTAGTAGTCAACAGGCAGCTGTTGGTGATATGCTGACTCAATTCACCTTTCACCCTGTACCCACACAGACACATTTGACTAAGACGAGTCGAATTTCTAGAATTTGGAATTAGGAAGGGAGTGAAGAGTTACTCTGAGAGAAACCTGCCTGTCTCTAAGTAACAGGTACCTGCCCTTGTCCTGAGAGGCCTATCTAGACCACCCTTCAGACCCAACTCCACTCATTGTCACTGTCCTGGGCTTTGGGGCTCTGCATTCAGGCAATGTGAAGGACTAAAGCCACTGCCTCCAAAGTGAGGATTCCTGTAGCCCTTTCCTCATACCCAGACTTCAAGTTCATAAGGTAGACGATGTCAGGAAAGGGCATCATAGACAACTAGCACTCAACTAGACGGTCACAAGCCTTCCCACGCAAGTATATGTAGTAGGCAGACGAGATAAATATGAAATTTTACTCGACAACAGAAAAGGAGAAACAGGAAAAAAGGTGCCTCGAGCAAAGTCAATGACTTGGTGGTGGCAGAGATTGTTTCCTCCAAAACGAGAATGGTAGTAACTAGGGCAAATTTCACAGGCCTACCACCAATCTCACCAGTCCAGGAATTATATAGGAATGGTCACATTCCTAATGATGGTGAAGCAGAAAGCCCTCCCCACAGAGAGACAGCCCACTGGGGACCCAGCTCAAGCTCTTCAAAACGTGGCAGCTACAGGTCACAAGACTTTGGCAGAGATGTCCGAAATTCTTCAAGGAAGGCGTCACGATCAGAGGGACGGATCCAGCTCAAATAGCTTTCTAGGTACAGGGGGAGAGACCTGGAGAGAAAGAAGGATGATGCCTAAGGGTGAAAGATTGGCAGAAAGCTGGGCAGCCATACCCCCGCTTTCAGTGTTCACCACCCACAATAGGTCCAAGGACTCTAGGACACCAACTGCCCCTCAGCCCCAAGCCAGCAGGCCTGAGCCTCACCACAGAGCATCTTCATGTGACCCCTTAGTTTGGGCCTCCAGCCTCCACCAGAGTGCAGTGGCCTCATCCCTCCGATCTAGCCTCTTCAGAGTCTGAAGCAGGTGAAAGTAAGTGTCTCGATTACCTGTAGCCCCAGCCCAGAGTACAGAGTCTTAGAACTTGACATAGTCTTAGGCATTGTTTTATAAAAAGGGAAACTGAGGCCTAGAGAGAGGAAGTATCTTGCCTACACTCACATATGGAAGCGGGGGCAGATCATTCACAACCATTCCCATCCCAGTGTCCATCATCTGCCCCCTACTCCTGTGCAACCCACAACAGCAGAGTCATGGTCTTTGTGTCTGAGGATATCGGGGAAACCAGGGAACTCTTGGGAGCCCTGCATACACACTGTGTATATTTGAACACCTGGATATATCCCTAGGTATATATAGCACAACCCCAATCACCCCTCCTGTCTGAGAACACCACTCTTACACTTACGCCCAAGTATTTCCCATGGGCCTCTCTGTCCTTGCACATCTATGCATAGCCGACGTCATGCAAGTATACATACCTGGGCACATCTGCACACTGAGGAGGAAGTCCTGTAAGGCTTTGGTATCCTGGCCGCTGGCTACCCATTCCAGTCCACGACTAATTAGGGCGGCTGCCCGAAGCTGCTGCAGTGCCGCATCTGACTTACATCCCTGCTCACAGTTGAAAGCTGCCCCTGGGGACCACTCCCAAAGTCAAGAAGTGTCTTCCCAGCCTCACAGTCACCAAAACCCCAAATCCTCCTCTATTTCTTCTTGTGTCCACAGTCCCTTTCTCTTAAGTCTCCTGGTGGGCTGGGACACATTAAAGGGAACCCACTTCCACCACTACCACTTCCAGGAGGTAAGAGGAAAACTGAAAGTTTAGATCACCTTGTTCTTTTTCCTCAGGTGTGGCCCGGAAGAGCAGCTCGAGGCACCTGAAGTAGGACACAGAACAGGGGTGAAGAGGAATCAATTTCAGAAACTCTAGGGTAAGTAGGTGAACATGGAGCTCACCAACTCAGGTCCCAATCAGAAAATCATCCCTCCACACCCCCTCTAGGACCCCGGGCTCACCTGCTAAATTCACTAATTGCCACTTTTTGGGCACCCAGTTGAACCCAGGCCTGGCCCTGAAGCAGGTGGGTGGCAGAGACCCAGAGTGGGCAGTATGGCAGTTCCTTGGTTCCTTTTCTGGCATCTTCCCACAGCCGGGACATCTTGGGTAGCAGAGATGATGTGCGGCTGAGCAACTCCTCACATAGAGTCAAGGCATCTTGGGCTCTGCCTGCCTGGATCAGTGCTACCGCTGCCTCCAAAAACACCTCAGGCATACAGGGCCCTGGAGGGGAGGGGGGTGGGGAGAACTGGAGTGGGAAGAAGAAGCAGTGTCTTGAAAGGCATGAGCCACCATCCCCAACCTCTTCACCAGGCTCTGGTACCATGCAGAGTCCTGGGCCCCCAGACTGGACAGACAGAATAGAGGAAAAAACAAAAAATTGCAGTCTTGCTGTATTTCAAAGGGGACACCAACCCGTCTACCCCATTGCAGAGAAGCTTGAAGACACACCCACCCTTGGCTCCGAGCTATCCAGCAACAGGGCCAGCAGGTCCAAGTAATGCTCTGCAGCGTCTCCTGCCCTGAGGAGTAAAAGCCCATAAGCCTCACCCTAGGCCCTAGCAGGGAACCTGCAAGGGTCCTGAGAATGTTCTCTCTTAGCTAACAGATGGATGTTCATGGGCCCTGAGGAGGAGAAAGGGAGGGAAGGTCTTAGGGCTCCAATTTTGGCTCAGTATGGATCTACCCCAGTTACAGAATGGACTGGGGAAGAGACTTCAGAGTGTCAAAGATAGAGAAGGTTAATGTCTTAGAGAAGAGTCCTCAGTTCAGGTCTAGAAGCAAGGTAAGAGGCTGAGGAGTGGCGACCTATGTCCTGCCACTGCCTCATTCATCCCCCAAGTCACAAGAACAAAAGCAGAGTCACACCCCAGGGGAGGCATCAGAAGTGGGAAGAGAAGCTCAGGTGAGCAAGGGGAACCTCACCTCCCCGTCTGTAGGCACCTGCTTGCTAGTATGTGCTTGGTCTGGCTCTGAGTGCCACAATGAAGGGGTGAGGCTAGGTCAGGTGGTGGCAGTAGTAATTCTACCTCAATGAGAAACTGCGGGGCTTTGGAACTGCATGGGACATTCAAGGCCTAAAAGAGAAAGAAAAAAATTGTATCTATAATCTTTGGGAGCCATACTTCCTTATACTTGGATCTTGACTAGTCAAGTCACCCCATCACAAGCACCTCAGGAATCCTCCACCCCACATCTTCACCTGGCAGTTCCCTACCTCAACTAGCAGCTCCAGACTCTCCAGCTCTGCTGTTGTGTCCCCCAGTTGCTGATAGAGCCTAGAGGCCTCCAGAAGTGGAGGACCCCAGGCTGATCCCTCTTTCAGGGCTGCAACCAAGTACAACAGTGCTCTCTGTGGATTTCCCTAAAGGGATAGGAGGACACGGGCCTCAGCTACCCTTACAAAGCAAAAAGCTATACATAATGCTTGTGGTTTCCCCAATCCACCCTAGGACTGTCTTTACCATCTTACGGTGACAGGACCCCAGTGCTGTGTACACCTGGACCAACACAGGCCGTGGACACAGGCCTGAGGCCGCTTCATGAAGGCTGCTTAGTGCCTTGTCTGGGTTCCCTGTGATCAGCTCCTGGAGACCTGAGGACAGTCAGGGTGTGAGCTTGGAGAGGGCTATAGAGCAGGGGTCATGATGGGGAACAAGGGTCTAAGAAGCCCATGGAACTGAATGGGACAAGAGAGAGGGCATGAGTCTGGAGGACCACTTAAAGGTAGAAGAGATGAGTCAGGTTGCTAGCTGACCTTGGCGGTAGGCAAATGCTGTCAGGAGGACATCCTTCAATCCCTGGGCATCCTGCAGGGTCAATGGAGCATCTAATTCCTCAGCTGGGGGACTCCAAGTTTTCAGAAGTAACAGCAGATCCTTAGAGGCTCCACTCTGGGGAAAGAAGGACAACCAGAAGCTCCAAGCCTACAACCTCCTCGTCTTCTCCTATCTCCATCTATCCTGGCTAGACCTTGAGCTCAAGGGTCCTCTTGATCCTTGAGGACACAGGCCTCAGCTACCCTTACAAAGCAAGAAGCTATGCATAATGCCTGTAGTTTCCCCCAATTCTAAGAGATAGATAGCTATGAGGCAAGAATTAAAAAAAAGGAAGAAAAACCTGGGGCAGTGATGATCTATTCCAGCGTGCCTCCTCACTCAGGGCAAGGACCATATTTGAGTTACTAATAAGGAGACTAAGGCTGAGAGCTGACTTGAGCAAGATCACAAGAGCCCTATCCCTATCCAAAAAAAAATTTTTTTTTTTTTTGAGACAGGGTCTCCCTCTGTCACCCAGGCTGCAGGGCTGGAGTGCAGTGGCGTGATCATAGCTCACAACTCACTGTTGCCTCCACCTCTTGGGTTCAAGTGATCCTCCTACCTCAGCCTCCCAAAGTGCTGAGATTACAGGTATGAGCCACCATGCCTGTCCAATTTTTAAAAAACACTCCTAAGAGAATCCCCACAATGAGAGACCAACCAGGGCAAGGTCACCCAAGAGTCCCAGAGAGAATCCAGGTTTTCCGACCACCAACCCAGCCGCCTGTCCAGTACATGATGATGCTACTGCAGCTGGAGAGAAAGGAGGAGGAAGGAAGGAGGAGACCCTCAGCTTCAGGTCACTTTCCCTATTACCTGGCTGCCATTCAGGGTCTCTAGTAACAAGGCCAGGTCCCCAAGACGGTCAGCACTCAACCAGAGGGCAGCCTGCAGGCCAACCAGGCGGTGCAGGGCAGACAGCAGCTCCGGCAGAAGGCAGGAAGCACGAAGGACAGAGTCCCACAGCTCCCTGAGCCCCTGTTCCAACCTGGGCCCCTGCTGCTCCTGTGTCTCCAGCACTGTAGAGTATACACACACACATAGACACACACACAGCTGAAGTAGCACCTCATCCTCCATCTCCCCACACACTCTGGCTTTCCTCTCCTGCAGGACCCCAAAGGTCACAATAATAATACCTCAACCTGGTCTGAAGAGCACAGAGAAGGGCACCTCTCTCCATGGAGGTGACAGATGTTGTTTATCCTCCCATCTCCCTGCAATAACTTAAACCCAGACTGAAGATGGCAGGGGAATCAGGGACAATCTCTGGCCCTCACCTCTCTCTAGGCTCCGCTGGATATCCTGGGCCTGATCCTCTGTGAAACCCTGGGCCAAGCTTGCCCTCAGGATAATGAAGTTGCAGGTGACAGTCAGCTCCAAGGGAAGAACAGGAACAGCTGCAGGGAGCCCTGGAGCAACAATGTTGGTCTTACAGACTGCTCCCCCATGGAAGATCCTCCAAATAAAATCCCAACTCAGAGATCACCCCACTCCAACCAAAACAGCTACAATAAAGAACCCACCCTCCAGCCAATTAGCTAAGGATTTAAAAAAAGAACCCAACCTTTGGACAGAGAGTCTGGAAAGGGCAAAAAAGTTATCCAGATCAGACCATCTTGGAAACCATTTTTCAAATGCCACTCTGTGAGTGTGTAAGGAAGAGAGGGATTTGCCTGTACAAAGATGATTCCACTCCAGTCTCCTCTGTGCCTTAAACAGGACTCCCTGCCCCGAGTAATTATATCGATCCCAAAAACGCAGGAGCGGATGTTTCTCTGGCTATGGAAGAGGGGAACTGACCATCCTGGGGAGGACCCGCCTACCTTGCAGACTATGGAGGAGCCCTCTGAGCCCTTCCAGTGCATCCTGAGCCAACTGCTGTCGCCTCAGAGTCAGACCGGAGTTCTGAGCCACCTGCCACATGAGGGAGGGGTTGTCACTGAGGATCAATCCTTTTTTCTCCCCTTGCAGCAGTGGCAAGGGATGCATTCTCCAGTCATTTCTGGCTCTTTGGTCAAGCTCAGTCCCTCCCCATCGGTTGGGGTAAATCCACTGCAAACCCGCTTTCAGGGATCTTGAGGCTGCAAACCGAGGGTGCCAGCAACCGTGTTACCTTGGCCTGTCGAACGAGCCGGTCATTCTTTTCCCTCCACAGGTCCAGGCAGCTGGAGCCCACAGAGGTGGTCTGGCGGGACATGGTGGCCGAGGCTGGGCCCGGAGACCAGAAGCGGACTTAGGAAGGGTGAAGCTGGCCTGCCCAAGCTCCCAACCCCAGCGGGGAGGGGCCTGGGCACTTCTGCACCCCGCCGAGCTCCCCTGCTTCTCTCGGGGTCCCAATCCACCCGCCCAGGCTTTCCAGGACAGATGGGACGCTCTCTCCCCGCGGCCCGCCGGGCTCTCAACCTCGCCTCTGGTTGGCCGGGTCTGCGAAGCTCTGGGCTGCGGTTGGTCCTCTTGAAGAGTTAGTTCCCGCGGGAAACTCGGGGAGGAAACGAGTCAGCAACCCCAAACAGGCTTAGGCGGGCTAGAAGCCGGGGTCGTGTCTGACTGGGGCAGTCGCACGGCCGGCGGTGCGGCCCGCTCGGCTCTCGCGGAGGCCACAGCCTCGAGAAAGGGTGGGCGGGAGCGAGTTTCGGCCCCACAGTCCGTGGCTCGGCCCTTCCTCGCTGCCACACCCCCAGGTCCTCCTGGGTTCCCGCTTCCACCGAGGGCCGACTGCGAGGTGCATGCTGGGAGTCGTAGTACCGCACCGGGGCGGAACAGCTCCGCCCCGGCGGATGGTGTTTCCAGAAAGCGGTAACTGGAGACGAGGGCGCTCCGTAATCGTCCATCCTTTCTCTGCTCACTGTCGAGCACCAACACGCTCACCAAGGTCGGCTTTCTACCGCGTGTAGTCTGCTGGCAGTGCCGCTCTGTACTTGCACTGCTCAAAAGTACCTGCCCAATCATTTCAAATTAAATGGAGCTAGGAGAATTGAATATCCATATGCAAAAAAAAAAAAAAAAAAAGACAGGAAAGAAAAGAACGCGACCATACATACGTACATAAAATCAACTCAATGGATCACAAACTAAATATAAGAGCCAAAAATATAAAACTTCTAAAAGAAAACGTAAAGCAGCCTAACTAACATGGTGAAACCTTCTCTACAAAAATACAAAAATTAGCAGGGCGTGGTGTCGTGCGCCTGTAATCCCAGCTACCCCGGAGGCTGAGGCGGAAGAATCGCTTGAACCCGGGTGGCGGAGGTTGCAGTGAGCCGACATCGTGCCATTGCACTCCAGCCTGGGTGACAGAGTGAGACTCCGTCTCAAAAAAAAAAAAAAAAGAAAACGTAAGAGAACAGCTTTATGACCTTGGGTTTGGCAACAAGTTGTTAGACACAGCACTAAAAGCTTGTACAATTTAAAAAAAAGTTAACTTTATTAAAATTAAAAACTCTTGTACTACAAAGACATCATTAAGAAGTCATACGCTGGGGCCGGGCGCCGTGGCTCACGCCTGTGATCCCAGCACTTTGGGAGACCGAGGCGGGCGGATCACGAGGTCAGGAGATCGAGACCATCATGGCTAACACGGTGAAACCCCGTCTCTACTAAAAATACAAAAAATTAGCCGGGCGATGTGGCGGGCGCCTGTAGTCCCAGCTACTCGGGAGGCTGAGGCAGGAGAAAGGCGTGAACCCCGCGGGCCAGAGCCTGCAGTGAGCCGAGATCGCCCCACTGCACTCCAGCCTGCGCAACAGCGAGACTCCATCTCAAAAAAAAAAGAAAAGAAAAGAAAAGAAAAGAAGAAAAATCATAGGCTGGATGTGGCTCATGCTGTAATCCCAGCACTTTGGGAGGCTGAGGCTGGAGGATTCCCTGAAGCCAGGAGTTCAAGACCAGCCTAGGCAACAAAGATGGTGTCTTTTGTAGAGACATTATCTCTACAAAAAATTTAAAACATTAACCCTGGCACAATAACACACCTGTAGACCCAGCTACTTGGGAGGCTGAGGTGGGAGGAGCCCTTGAGCCTAGGAGTTCCAGGTTGCAGTGAGCCATGATCACACCACTGCCCTCCAGCCTGAGTAACAGAGTGAGACCCTGCCTCAAAAAAAGAAAGGTCACAGTCACAGAGTGGGAGAAACTACTTGCTAATTATATACCTCATAAGGGACTGGTATCCCTAACACATAAAAACTCCCAAAACTCAAGAAAAAGATTTTTAAAAACAATCTTAGCTGGGTGTGGTGGTTCATGCCTGTTATCCCAGCACTTTGGGAGGCTGAGGTGGGAGGATCATTTGAGCCTCAGAAGTTTAAGACCTGCCTGGGCAACATAGCAAAACCCCACCTCTACAAAAAAAATACAAAAATTAGCTGGGCATGGTGGCACACACCTGTAGTCCCATCTACTCGGGAAACTTAGGTGGGAGGATCACCTGAGCTCAGGGATGTCGAAGCTGCAGTGAGCCATGATTGAGCCACTGCACTCCAGCGTGGGCAACAAAGTGAGACCCTGTCTCAAAACAAAACAAAAAACAATTTTAAGATGGACCAAAAAAAAAAAAAAAGACATTTTACCAAAAAAGATCTACTAATGGCTAAGAAACACATAAAAAGATGCTCGGCATTATTAGCTATTAGAGAAACACAGTTAAAAACATGGCCAGGGCCGGGCCATGTTATGCCTGTAATCCCAGCACTTTGGGAGGCTGAGGTGGATGGATCACTTGAGGTCAGGAGTTCAAGACCAGCATGGCCAACTTGGTGAAACCTCGTCTCTACTAAAAATACAAAAATTAGGCAGGCATGGTGGTGCATGCCTGTAATCCCAGCTACCTGGGAAGCTGAGGTGGGAGAATGGCTTGAACCCGGAAGGTGGAGGTTGCAGTGAGCCGAGATCCTGCCACTGAACTCTAGCCTAGGTGACACAGCGAGACTTCGTCTCAAAAAATAAAAAAACGCTTCACACAGCCGGGCGTGGTGGCTCACACCTTTAATCCCAGCACTTTGGGAGGCTGAGGCAGGTGGATCACTTGAGGCCAGGAGTTTGAGACCAGCCAAGCCAACAGGGCAAAACCCTGTCTCTACTGCAAATACAAAAATTAGCTGGGCATGGTGGCAGACACCTGTAATCCCAGCTACTCAGGAGGCTGAGGCATGACAATCACTTGAACCTGGGAAACGGAGGTTGCAGTGAGCTGAGACCATGCCACTGCACTCCAGCCTGGGTGACAGAGTGAGACTCTGTCTCAAAAATAAATAAATAAAAATAAAAACACTATACACATACATACATAAAATGACTACAATAAAAACAGATTATACCAAGTGTTGGTGAGGATGTGTATGAGGAACCCTCATACACTGCTGGTGGGAATATAAAATAGTACACTCACTTCAGAAAAGTTTGGCAGTTTCTTAAAAAGTTAATCATAGGCCGGGCGCAGTGGCTTATTCCTGTAATCCCAGCACTTTGGGAGGCCAAGGCAGGTGAATCACGATGTCAGTAGATCGAGACCATCCTGGCTAACACAGTGAAACCCCGTCTCTACTAAAAATACAAAAAATTAGCCAGGCGTGGTGGCGGGCACCTGTAGTCCCAGCTACTCAAGAGGCTGAGGCAGGAGAATGGCGTGAACCCAGGAAGTGGAGCTTGCAGTGAGCCAAGACCCCGCCACTGCACTCCAGCCTGGGTGACAGAGCAAGACTCCATCTCAAAAAAAAAAAAAGAAAAAAAAGTCAATCACAAATTTACCATAAGACTCAGCAATTCCACTCCAAAGAATACTCCCAAGAGAAATGAAAACATACGTCCACACTGAGATTTGTTGCAAATACTCATAGTAGCTAAAAATGTTCATAATAGCTAAAAACTGAAAACAATCAAAATGTCCATCAGTTGGTCAAAGCCAATGATTTAGCAATGAAAAGGGGCAAAAGAGTGCACCAACAAACTTTTTTTTTTTTGAGACGGAGTCTCGCTCTGTTGCCCGGGCTGGAGTGCAGTGGCGCAATCTCGGCTCACTGCAACCTCCGCCTCCTGGGTTCAAGCAATTCTCCTACCTCAGCCTCCCGAGTAACTGGGATTACAGGTGCACACCACCACGCCCAGCTAACTTTTTTGTATTTTAGTAGAGACGGGGTTTCACCATGTTGCCCAGGCTGGTCTCGAACTCCTGAGCTCAGGCAATCCACTGGCCTCGGCCTTCCAAAGTGCTAGGATTACAAACTTATAAAGATTGAAAACAGGCTGGGTACAGTGGCTCATGCCTGTAATCCTAGCTCTTTGGGAGGCCAAGGTGGGCGGATCACGAGGTCAAGAGATTGAGACCATCCTGGCCAACATGGTGAAACCCCGTCTCTACTAAAAATACAAAAATTAGCCAGGCGTCGTGGTGCACACCTGTAATCCCAGCTACTCGGGAGGCCGAGGCAGTAGAATCCCTTGAACCCAGGAGGCTGAGGTTGCAGTGAGCCGAGATCGCGCCACTGCACTCCAGCCTGGGCGACAGAGCAAGACTGTCTCAAAAAAAAAAAAAAAAAAAAAAAAAAGATTGAAAACAGGCCAGGCTCATGCCTGTAATCCCAGCACTTTGGGGGACTGAGGTGGGCGGATCACCAGAGGGCAGGAGACCAGCCTGGCTAACATAGTGAAACCCCATCTCGCCGGACGTGGTGGCACATGCCTATAGTCCCAGCTACTTGGGAGGCTGAGGCAGGAGAACCACTTGAACCCAGGAGGCAGAGGCTGCAGTGAGCAGAGATCACGCCACTGCACTCCGGCCTGGGCAACAGAGTGAAACTCCATCTCTAAATAAATAAATAAATAAATAAATAAATAAATAAATAAATAAATAAAAGACCGAAAACAGATCATTGGCCTGGGGTAGGATTAGGGAGTCAATGTAGGGAATTTTGGGGGGATGATAGAAATGTTCTAAAATTAAGTTGTGGCATTTTGCAATAATTTATTTCATATGACACCAAAAGCATAAGCAATGAAAGAAAAAAACAGGATGAACTGGACTTTCTCAAAATTAAGAATTTTTGTGTAGGCCAGGCGCGGTGGCTCATGCCTGTAATCCCAGCACTTTGGGAGGCCAAGGCGGGCGGATCATAAGGTCAAGAGATTGAGACCATCCTGTCCAACATGGTGAAACCCCGTCTCTACTAAAAATACAAAAATTAGCTGGGCGTGGTGATGCACGCCTGTAGTCCCAGCTACTCAGGAGGCTGAGGCAGGAGAATCACTTGAACCCAGGAGGCGGAGGTTGCAGTGAGCCGAGATAGTGCCACTGTACTCCAGCCTGGCGACAGAGCAAGACTCCGTCTCAAAAAAAAAAAAAAAAAAAAGAATGTTTGTGCATTAAAGGATATTATCAAGAAAATGAAAAGACAACCCACAGAGTGGAGAAAATATTTGTAAGTCATATATCATTTGTAAATCATATATCATATCATATCATATATCTGTTCAGGGACCTGTATCTAGCATGTAAAAAGAATGCTAGCCAGGCACAGTGGCTTACACCTGTAATCCCAGCACTTTGGGAGGCTGAAGCAGGAGGATTGCCTGAGCCCAGGAGTTCAAGACCAGCCTAGGCAACATAGTGGGGCCCTGTCTCTACAATAAAATAAAAAATTAGTCGGCCATGGTGGTGCACACCTGTAGTCCCAGTTACTCAGGAAGCTGAGACAGGAGGACTGCTTGAACCCAGGAAGCTGTGGCTTCAGTGAGCCATGATCACGCCACTGCATTATAGCCTGGGTGACAGAGCAAGACCCTGGTCCAAAAATAATAATAATAACAATAATCCAATTAAAAATAGTCAAAGAATCTGAAGGGACATTTCTCCAGTAAGCACAAGAAAAGATGCTCAGCTCAGCATCATTAATCATTAAGGAAATGCACACCAAAACCACAATGAGATATTACTTCACACCCACTAGGATGGTTAGAATCAAAGACAGATGACAACAAGTGTTGACATGGATGTGGAGAAATCGTTACCCATATATACTTCTGGTAAGACTGTAAAACGATACAGCAACTTTGGAAAACAAACTGGCAGTTCCTTAAAAGATTAAACAGAGTTACCTTATGACCCAGCAGTTGCTCAGTGTACAGCTAGGTATACACTCAAGAGAAATTAAAACATATGTCCAAACAAAAACTTATACACAAATGTTTATAGCAGCATTACATAATAACCAAAATGTGTAAATCCAAATGGCTATCAATGGATGAATGGATAAACAAAATGTGGTATATCCATGCAATAGAGTATTATTTGGCCATAAAGAGGAATGAAGTACCAATACATGCTACAACATAGATGAACTCTGAAAACATTAGGCTGAGTAAAGGAAGATAAGACAGAAAAAGGCACTACTGTATGAGCCCATTTATATGAAATGTCCAGAACAGGCAAATCTATAGAGACAGAAAACAAATTAGTGGTACCAGGAGTTAAGGGGGAGAAGAGAAGGAATGACTGCTTAAGGGTACAGGGTTTCTTTTTGGGGTAATGAAAACATTCTGGAATTGATAATGATGATAATTGTACAACGTTGTGAATGTACTAACGGCCACTAAATTATACACTTTAAAATGGTGAATTTTATATGAATTTTACTTCAATTTTAAAAAAGAAAAAGAATGAAGTACTGCTGTGTGCTGCTATATAGATGAAACCGGAAAACATTATACTAAGTGGAAGATGCCAGTCACAAAAGACCACATATTATTATGATCCCATTTCTGTGAAATATCCAAAATGGGCAAATATATAGAGAAACAGCAGATTAGTGCTAGCCAGGGGTTGGGGAGGATTGGAGGGTGATATCTAAACAGTAGATTTTCTTTTGGGGTTGGTGAAAATGTTCTAAAATTGATTCTGGTGATGGTTGTACAATTCTGTAAATACACAAAAACCATTAAATCTTACACCTTACATGGGTAAATTTTATGGTAAATTGCATTTCAATAAAGCTTTTTTAAAAAAGAATCAGGGCTGGGTGCAATGGCTCACACCTGCAATCCCAACACTTGAGGAGGTCGAGGCAGGAGGATGGCTTGAGGCCAGGAGTTCAAGACCAGCCTAGGCAAGACAGCAAGACCCCCACCTCTACAAAA
The DNA here is from genome assembly GCF_000001405.40 of Homo sapiens. Classification (NCBI taxonomy): domain Eukaryota; kingdom Metazoa; phylum Chordata; class Mammalia; order Primates; family Hominidae; genus Homo; species Homo sapiens. The sequence goes on from NC_000009.12 coordinate 35,086,454, forward strand.
AATTAAAGGAAAAAAAAAAAGAATCATTGAGTTAGTGTGGAATGGACTCTGATTTCAAGGAAAAGGGAGGGATAAGATAATTTTTCTTTTTAAAAGAGAGAGGATCTATGTTGCCCAGGCTGGAGTGCAGTGGCTATTCACAGGTGCATTCATTGTGCACTACAGCCTCTAACTCCTGGGCTCAAGTGATCCACCTCAGCCTCTACATAGCTGGGACCATGCCTGGCTAATTTTTTTATTTTTGTAGAGACGGAGTCTTGCTATCCTCAAGTGATCCTCCCACCTCTGCCTCCCAAGTAGCTGGGACTATAGGGACATGCCACAGTGCCTGGCTAGAAATAATTTTTAATAGCGTAAATCAATGTACTAATGTCTTTATCTAATAGAATCTTATAGATACACCAGGAGAAAGAATAGACAGTGGTTGGCAGATCAGCAAATTAGCCTTAGGCTCCAGGCAAGGAGGCTACTGCAAAAAGTGCAGGGTACCTGGCTGAGAAGTGGAGGAACTAGGGCCTAAAATCCTTCCATGGGTGCTAGGGATGGAGGAAAGGTTTTTGTTTTGGTTTTTTTCCCCTTTCTCAAAAAGACACCATTTGCTCACCGAACTATGCTTGGGAGTTGTGTCCACCAGACTTGGGGAGAAGCGTTTTTCTAATTCATCTTACAGGCCAGCTGGGGCCAACTTCACCCCCTTGCATTATTAAACCTCTTTCTACCATGGTTAACAACCTATCCCTTTTTTTTTTTTTTTTTTTTTGAGAGAGAGTCTGGCTCTGTCTCCCAGGCTGGAGTGCAGTAGCGTGATCTTGGCTCACTGTAACCTCTGCCTCCCAGGTTCAAGCGATTCTCCTGCCTCAGCCTCCTGAGTAGCCGGAATTACAGGTGCACACCACCACACCTGGCTAATTTTTGTATTTTTAGTAGAGATGGGGTTTTGCCATGTTGGCCAGGCTGGTCTCAAACTCCTGACCTCAGGTGATCCACCCGCCTTGGCTCCCCAAAGTGCTGAGATTACAGGCATGAGGCACCACACCCAGCTGAACCATACTTTTCATCATCTTACTATTTGGCATCTGTAACACTAGGGACCACTGGCCATTAATAATCTGAACTTAGCCAGGTGCTGTGGCTCACACCTGTAATCCTAGTGCTTTGAGAGGCCAAGGTGGAAGGATCGCTTGAGGCCAGGAGTTCACGAACAGCCTGGGCAATGTAGCAAGACTCTGTCTGTACAGAAATTTAAAAATTAGCCAGGCATGGTCCCAGATACTGAGGAGGCTGAGATGGATCACTTGAGCCCAGGAGTTTGAAACTACAGGGAGCTATGATTGCACCACTGCCCTCCAGCCTGGACAATAGAGCAAAAATATGTCTTTAAAATGATAGTAACAATAAAAATAATTTCAATTCTTCCCTTAGCTACCTACCACAGCAGTGAACGTTTATACTTCACAACCACTACTACTCAGCTTCTCTACTTTATGCCAGCTAAAAGTAGGTGCTATCCCATGGTTTTAACATCTGTTCTGTTTTTCAGTGGTATCAGCTCCTCTTGTTCTAGGTACTGTCAAACCTCAAATCCCAGTCCTGATGCTTCTCTCCAGGGCCTCTTCCCAACTCTTTTGATGGACATCTCTAGGAGGATTTCATGCCAGCATTTCAAACATGACAGGAGTGCTGGGGTGAACAGAGGGCACAAAACATACACATGAGAAAAGAACCAGTGGATTCACACAATTTTGGCTTCAAGTCAGGAATAATGAATGGGACAAGGTGGAATGCTACATAAGATGGGCATGTAGATCTGATAAAGAGTGGCACAGGTTGGGAAACAAGGGAGGCTTCCACAGAAGGGAAGGGCAAAGGGTGTTCTATAGTGAAAAGGCCCAGTGGAGCGGGGGCATAGCACTATTTGGGGCTTCAGACAGTTAAAGTCGGTGCTGCATGATGCCTGGGCTTGTCTTCTCAGTCTTCTCTCTTTATCAGACAAAGAACAGGAACTTAACAAAATGTGTTGCATGGCAAAGGAAAATAGCGGTGGGATAATAGGATTGATTTGGGAAGAGGTGGAGGCAGTGAATTCAGACAACTCCAACCACTTCATAAAGGTTCTCAGGTGCAGCCAGGCTTTCCTAAGATGACTGATCTCATCTGTGCCTGGTGGCAGGAGAGACTGATCCTCCTCACAACCCCTATAGAACAGTGGGGCTCCCCCACATCTCAGACACACATAATTATATTATCATTTTATTACACTTTTTTTTAAATAGTAGAGACGGGGTCTTGTTATGTTCCACAGGCTGGTCTTGAACTCCTGGGACCAAGCAATCCTCCCACCTCTGCCTCCCAAAGTGCTGGGATTATAGGTGCAAGTCACCACGCCCGGCCTATTTTATTCCACTTCGGAGACCGCCCCCCTTGTCCCTCAGATGCATCCAAATCAGGAGTTAGGGATCATACTCCACTGTGGTCCTGAATTATAGAATAATGAAGTCCTAGATGTCAGCGGCCCCTGGCTGCATGATAGTAAGAGTATGGCTGAGCCTGTCTTGCAGATCATCCAGTACCTGTACAGGCCAGGCTACACTGTTCTCAAGCACTCTCTGTAGCCAAGTGCCAGTAATCACAGACTAGGCTACCTCTGCTGGGCCAGAAATAGCTGCCTGAACCAGGAGCTCACAGCACCATCCACTCTCATCACCAAAGCTATGCCCAGGAGAAGTCCCACGCTGCTCACAATGAAGCCCACAGCCTCAAATATGAACCTGCAAAGAAAGGCGGAGAATCTCAGGCAACAGAGTAGGTCTACTGCCTTTTCCCTGTAGAGGCAAAACCTTGGCCATCCTGGATGTTTAGGATCTTCATACTTTGTTCCAAGTTTCTCCCTCCCCACCACCTCTACTTCTCAAGCAAATCTACTCACTTAGGGGCAAACACTTTCCAGACCATGAGATGCCTGCGAAGGATGGAGGCTGCCAAGGCACAGGCCAGAATCTAGAGGAGGAGAGGAGGGGCCACGTTACTTGTGAAGGAGAGGAGGAAGCGGAGCAAAAGGAGAGTTTCTATAGGCCCCTGTAAAAAATGGAAGCAGGAGAATAGTGCATGTCAGTGGAAAAAATATTGCATGTCCTGGGCTAGGAGTTAGGAGACCTACTTCCTGCCCTGCCCCAAGCACTGACTCACTATGTGACTTTGGGCAAGTCAGTATCCATCTGCAATGCTAACACTCAGGCTGTGCCCCCAGGATGGAGGAAGATATCAGTGCCACATCTGCCTCTGGAGGAAAGGAAGAGGATCCATGACCACAGTTTGGGAAGAAAATCCTGGCTATCACCTCAGTTTTTCCAGTCTGTCCACTGATAGAGTAATCCTCAAATGCAACTAGCGGGGTCCAGATCTAGGTTGTAGAGGGGAAATGATCCAGGACTAGGATTAAGGAGACCCAGGTTCAAGTCTCAGAACTGCCATTTGAGGCCACTGGGCTTGGGCAACCACTTCACTTATGTGAAACTCAGTCAAGGCTCTCTCCCACGGTTTTGAAGGTCTGAAAGAAAGTGATGCACACACAGAGAAAAAACACCAACTCCCTGATCTCTCTCCTACACCCACCTGAATACCAAGGATAAAGAGGTACTTGAGGCCCAGCTGCAGCAGTGCTGCATAGAAGTGCTGAGGCGCATCCCGGAGCCGCATCTCCATCAGTGGCTCCTCTTCCTCCTCGGGTCTGACTCTGGCATCAGCTTCATTCCCTGGGGGCTGCTGTCTCTTCCGCAGCCCTTGACTCTCACACAGGAAAGGCCAGAGCAGGAGCAGTGGGCAACCTACTGCCTCAAGAGAGGGTATGGCTGGAATCAACAGGCCACCCTGGCTGGCTCAGGTTCCAATTAGCCTAGGCCAAGGGGTGCCAAAGATCCAACAAACCCATATCTCTCCATTCAAATCCAGGGGTTTCCTTTCTTTCCACAAAGCCAGAGTAAACAATGGAAGCAAGTGAAGGAGGAGGGGGTACCTGCAAAGAGGAGGTGGGAGGCAAAGGTGTTGGCTCCCACTAGCAAAGCAGGCAGCCAAGTACAGGAGCCATGACCCTCTGGGAATCCCACGAAGGCTGCATGCCAATGGATGGCTGGAAAGACAGGCTGGTGGCCTGTGGAGTAGAAGGTCTGTGTGGCCATGAGGGCCCAAGCCGAGACTGCCTGCCATGGCACAGTAAAAGGACCTGGAAGAAAAGATATGCCACGTTACAGTCACTTCTTATTCCCTAATCCATAGGCTACTGCTCCACAATCATATACTCCTACTACTTCAGTATCAATTCTCATACACACTCAAATGCCTATCAGCCCAACCTCCTTACAGTCAACATTCTGTTATTCTAATTCTCTCTGTGGTACAAAAGCGCCATCAGGCTTATCTGAATCCTGCTATGGCCAATCTCTTTCTTTCTCTCAAACACATACAGCTCAGTGCCATTATATATTCACAATTTACTACTTCCATCACTGGAAAATCAAGAAATGTGCTCATGAGGATGCAGCATTTCCACAGGGAGTCTTAGAGGACTCCTTGTCTCTCCTCTCCATGAACCCTGGGAACCAACAGGAGGGATCAATTTGCTTGGCTATGGCAGGTAAGAGAGAGGACACCAAGAAGACCTTCCTAGTTGTGTGGGGCATGGGACCCTCTGTCAAGCTCAGGAACATGAGGAGCAACACCTCCTTGAAAACAAGAGGGGCCGAACTCACATCACTATTGTCTTTAAGTGAATCAGAGCTGAGATATTTACCAGGGGTGGTGACGGGTATCCCAGCAGCAAGCAGATGTAGGAGAAGGAAGCTCTGCAGAAACAGAAGCAGGAACACAAGGCTGATGCGCTCCGCATGCAACAGCAGAAGTGGGAAGGCCAACAGGGTGAGGGCTGTGACCATAGCAGCTGAGTAGACACTCCCCAACTGATAAGCAGCCACAGTCAGGGGACCCTGAGATTTGGTCCTCTCTAACCGGCCCCGGAACTCCTCCTGCATGTGTCGGTAGATTTGAGGGACCACATAATCCAAGTCAGCTTGAGAAGTGGGGGGGCCTGAGAAGGGAGTGAGGACAGTCCTGGTCCTTGGAGCGCCTGCCCCAGCCTTCACCAGCACTGTCACAGGCTTCCAGAGCAGCAGCGCGAGCCCTGAAGCAGCCAGCCCTGCTACAGCCCGAGGCAGCACCATGGATGCCCCAGAGACCAGGACCCGGAGACGGGGGGGAGCCTCATCTGCCCCCGACGCCAATGCCCAGTAGGCAGCAGTACCCAATGCCATTAGGGGCAGTCCCCAGCGCACAAAGAGCATGGGTGGCTCGGGGCTCTTGAGATTACCATAGCGGCGAAGCCACAAGCGCACGGCAGCTAACAGGGCCACCAGCGCCGCCACACAAGCTCCATACCACAAATTCTTGGCTCGACCACCCACCATGGATGCCAGAGGACTCAGCCAGGGAGAGGAGTGGCAAACAGGTGTCTCTTCAGGGCAACGATGAAAAAGCCCAGCTAGCCTTGTACATAAAAGCAACCCAATTCCAAGCCTCAGGGCATATGCACCATTGTGCCGTGGGGGGTTTGTTGTGGCTGAAGTGCCAAGGCGGGGCATTGTGAGTAGCTTAGGTGGAAGCAGCTGGCCCTCCCAGTGAAGCTGGACAACCAGGAGCAGGATGAATGAGCCCAAAAGGAAGGGGGTGGCCCTGGCCTCAGCTACAACAAAACTATCAGAGAAGAACACAGCCAAGCGAAACAGCAGGAGTAACAGGACGGGCCCAGGGATGGGAAACAGGGTTGCCAGGGGCCTCTTGGACCCCCAGCCAGCCCAGGCTTTCCACAGAAAAGGGAGGAATGAGCTCACTGCAGCCACAGCCCCTAGAAGCACTAGATCTAGCTTCAGCTCAATAGTTCCCAGGAGTCCAGCATACGCTATGGCCCCAACCAGGCCCCAGGCCACAGGTGTCAGGAGTAGAGGGCAGAATGGAAAGCCTGGGGATATTGCCCACTGAGATGCCAGCAGGCAGATAAAGCAGGAAGCAGCCAAGAGAGCAGTACCCCCCGCCATGCGGACCAGAGAGAAACGAGCCCAAGACTCGATGCACATGGCCCGAGCTCCCCGCAGGAACTGCTGCAGCTCAGCAATCACAGTCGGCAGTGTCGCCTCAGCCCCCTTGGGGCTCTGGAGAAGCCACTGGTAGTCAGCAGAGGCCTTGGAGAAGAGGTTCTGCAGCTGATGAAGCTCCTTAGCTTGAAGGTCCTGAGTAGCAGCTGAGTAGGTATGAAGAAATCGGGACACCTGGCAGAGAAAAGGTCAGAGGCCAAGGGGAACAGGTCAGAGACATAAATTGGGGCAGAGGCAAGAATAGGTATTACAAAAGGGGGTACCTGGAAGTCAAGGACCCAAACTCTGTCCAGAATCGGGGAAGGGAGGGATAACGGAAGAGGGATAGGTATGGAAGGTGGGACTAAGACTAGTCAAAGGACAAAAGAGTGGTTCATTATGCTTCTTTCATGCCCACCCTAGCTCTGTCACCTGGAAACCCAGCCCGCTTACCTACCTGCTGAGCATTGAGATGGAGAGCTGAGGCTTGGGCTAAAGCAGAGGAGTGGGGCTGGGAGTCCTCACCCCCTGAGAATAGCTCAGCCATCACTTCCCCGATATTCCCAAATGGGATGGGCAGGCCCAGCAGCAGGGCCAGCGTGGGCACAAGGCTAACTTGAGGAATCACCTCTGGCTCCTAAAGGAAAATGACAGTGGTCAACAGATTCATCACAAAGCTGAAGTCAATGTTTGGGATGGCAGACATAGGGGCCTAGGTAAGAAATGAGAGTGGAGGATACCCAGGATCATGGATTTGGGGGCCTAAAATAGAGGTATTCATGAGGATGCTGTAATGGTAACATGGGCTGATTACTGGGAGAACAGATGAGGAACATCCCAGGCCTCACCTCTGGTGGGGTGCTGGGGAAGACTGCTGTGGGGCTATACAGAAAGAGAGCAGCTGAGACCTCCAGCTCACTGTCCCCTCCATGGTCTCCATTTGTGGTCATCCCATGGTCCCCAGCCACTACCAGCAGTGTGTCATTCTCCAGACGCTCCACAAGTCCCCTGGGGGCCAATAAATGTGTCAGGAGTAGAAACGGATAAATATTTTTCTCAAAAAGAAAAAAGATTTTTCTCCAGGGGCCTATTCATCCCCAGCTATAACTCCATTAGTAAGGCCTAGACCTTTGGCAAAGAGACATGTCTTCGGCCATGATCCTGATGCCCAAAGCTACACATTGAGTTAATCAAGATGGATGGAGCCTCTAGCTTCAGCAGAAGGCCTAGAGAAGACAGAATTCAGCCAGGAAAGAAGCTCTAAGATAAGAGCTTCTTCGAGATTCTCAGACACAAACCCACTCCCCCAGCCAATACCCCACACTCACTGGATCACCTGGTCCATCTGGCTAAGTTTCTTGGCCATTTCAGGGTGGTGAGGGCCATGCTTGTGGCCACAGTGGTCCACACCCAGGAAGTGAGCAATCAGCACGTCCCATTCACCACTGTCCACTGTGAAGGGGAGAACACTGAGCACAGAAGACTAAGACCCACTCCTCAACCCCAGCCAGGCTTTGACACTCCTCTATGTCCAGGGATACAAGCCCAGGCTGTTACACCCATAGGTGGCTCAGAATTTGTGGACTAAAGCAGTTCTCCCCAGCTCCCAGTCTTAGAACTAAGTGCTCTGGCCCCATGCTCACTGGTGGGGTAGAGGTGTTCCAGGATGCCATTGTCCACTGTGTCTAGGTCTCTGACATTGAAGGATGGGAAGAAGAAAGCTTTGGAGAAAGCACCAGGGAAAAGGTCTTTCCAGGTATCATCTCCCATGAAGACTACACGCCTTCCTGCAGGGACATGAAAGAGAAGTCAGAGCCTGAGCAAACGTCAGGGTTAGGAGAAAAGAGGAAAAGAGGCCCTTTAAAGACCCATCAGAAGTCCCAACCATGCAACCTAAAGTACAGCAATTCCATACAGCAATCCTTATCCTTCAGGGCCTAACATTTTCCACCAGGAAGCTTTCCCTGATAACCGTACTCCACCCAGACCTCACACTTATCCTTCCTACAAAATGCTCTCCTAGTTCTGTCTCTGGGTATCTCTACTGAGTTGTTTTTCCTGGGTGTATCCTGCTTCTTCCCAGTCAGTGAATGAACAGGGCCTGTATTTCTCTGCTTTCTTCTCCACACTTGCAAGCCAAGATCCACATCTTCTCTTCTTCCCTTCTCCCTTTTACTGAGAGGTCTCCAAGAATAAAACTTACACTCCATTCAGATTAGAAGCTTCATAGGAACAAAGCCCAGATCCCTTCTCCTCTGTCTCCCAAACTGAGCTCCCTACCAGCAGGGCCCTGGCCTCTTTCTTCTCCTCTGTCCCCCAAACTGAGCTCCCTACCAGCAGGGCCCTGGCCTCTTTCTTCTCCTCTGTCCCCCTACACCATAATCAAGTGTGCATCTGGGCACCCAAAGGTCTGACTCCCTGACTTCAAATTTTGAAGAAATTTGCCAAGGTACTTCTGGCCTTCAAAGTGGCCCACACTGACCTGCACTGGTGAGCTGCTTAATGAGATTGTCTTCCACTATGGCGTGGCTGGCGAAGTTACTACCAGCATCAATAAAGGTAGGCAGTGAGCCAGTGGTGAGGGCCTTGAGGCGCTGCATGGTGGTGGTAGGAGGGTCAACCTGAGATCGGTAGAGCCGGGCATGGTGGGGCTGAATCTCCAGGATCCTCTGCAAGGAGCTTAGTTTGCCCAGGAAGGGTAGGGAGACAGGAGGCTCTCTAGGCACGTGTGAATGCTGGGGCTGGGCGAAGTCAAATCGCAGAGCATCTATCAGCACCAACACAACCCGCGAAAATCGGGAAGCCATCCAGCAGGCCCCAGGTTTCCCTTGGCTCCCCCATGGCAGGGACCCAGGGCCTGGGGGCTCTTGGCAGCTGCTATGGTTGGTGAGCTCCAAACGGGTGAGCAGGAAGCCACTGGTGAAGAGGGCAATGCCAGCGTAGAAGAGGAAGCAGACCCAGGCCAGGAAGAGCAACACTGAGGCTTTCTGCATCCTGATAGGGGTGGGGAAGTAAATTCATTACTGTGGGGCAAAGAACCAGTGGATATTCTGGTCCCTGAATACAAGCCCAGCTAGAATCACTTCCTCCCGGAAACCTTCCTGGAGATAAACCATTTCACAGCCAACCCCTCGCAATATTACTCTCCTCCTATTTCCAGGCTGGGCATGGTGGCTCACGCCTGTAATCCCAGCACTTTGGGAGGCCGAGGCGGGCGGATCACCTGAGGTGAGGAGTTCGAGACCAGCCTGGCCAAAATGGCGAAACCCCGTCCCTACTAAAAATACAAAAATGGGTGGCGGGCACCTGTAGTCTCAGCTACTGGGGAGGCTGACGCAGGAGAATCGCTTGAATCGGGGAGGCGGAGGTTGCAGTGAGCCGAGATTGAACCACTGCACTAGAGTCTGGACAACAGAGGGAGACGCCGTTTCATGAGGTCCCACCCCAGATCTACTGAATCAGGATCTTCGAGGGGTAGAGCATAGGAACGTTCACATGTACAGGCAGGAAATGCTAATGCTGCCTGTACATGTGAACAGTCAGGAGGGAAACTTATTCCAATTGGTAGTCAGGCTCTCTTACACGCCGTTTCTGCGCCTCTCCCCTCGCCAATCTCAATACCCAGTGGAAAGGGATCGAAGCCGCAGGGGAATCCGGGCCCAGCCGACGGCGCCGCCTGGCGGGCACCGAGGGGACGAAGGGGAGGAGTCACTCTCCGCTTCCGGGCGGCCAGGTTCGCCAGGAGACCTGAGGCACGACCTTCGCCACGCAAGGAGGCTGGGGCCCGGGTCGAGAGTCGACTGGGCCTCCGCTGGGACCCAGGCGTGCGACCGGCTCTGCCTCCTCCGGTAACTACCCAGCCTCCCGCTGGGCACCCTAGCCGCGGTACTGAGCACCTTGGTTAGGAGCTGAGGGGAAGAGGGAGACTCCCTTACTTCAGGGTGAGGGGAATACCGGGGGGTGAGGTTCTCGGGAGACCCTGGCTCACCTGCAATGGCACCCGGAAGTGCGGCGGCGGCGGCGCCTGCGACCTGGCAGCACAGAGATGCGTGCGCCAGACAGAGTGGCCCGTCGGTGGCTCCATCGCCATCTGCCGGCACCTCGGTGGAAGTTTGGCCAGGAGCGTGGGGCTGGCCCCAGTTTGATGGGATATTTAGTAATTGAAAATTGGGGACAGGGGACCAAGCTGGAGGAAGAGTTCAGGGAACCACTGTCCATTCATGGTTACGACTAAGAGCACGGCTGCTGGAGTCAAACTTGACTTGAATCCTAGCTTGGCCGCACATATTGTCATCATTAGGCATTACCTCATCTGTAAAATGGAGATAATACTTATTTTCCCTTTTTTGCTTAGCTGAGTCCAACTGAGATTTCATTACTCCTCCTTTCAAAGCCTGTAACTAAATCTTACGACTGAATAATTAAGCAAATAATCCTTCGGAGTGGAGGAGGGGAGGCTGGGCCCAGTGGTTCACACCTGTAATCCCAGCACTTTGGGAGGTCAAGGCAGGTGGATCACCTAAGGTCAGGAGTTCAAGACCAGCCCGGCCAATATGACGAAACGCCGTCTCTACTGAAAATACAAAAGTTACCCGGGAGTGGTGGCGGGCGCCTGTGATCCCAGATACCTGGGAGGCTGAGGCAGGAGAATCACTCGAACCCAGGAGGCAGAGGTTGCAGTGAGCCGAGATTGCACCACTGCACTCCAGCCTGGGCAACAGAGCAAGACTCCCTCTCAAAAAAAAAAAAAAAAATGCCAGGCACGATGACTCACACCTGTAAGCCCAGCACTTTGGGAGGCTGAGGCTGGAGAATCAGTTGAAGTCAGGAATTGGAGACCAGCCTGGCCAACATGCTGAAACCCCAACTCTACTAAAAATTACAAAATTTAGCCAGGCGTGGCGATGTGTACCTGTAGTCCCAGCTACTGAGGAGGCTGAGACTGGACAATTGCTTGAAGCCAGGAGGCAGAGGCTACAGTGAGCTGAGATCGTGCTACTGCACTCCAGCCTAGGCAACAGAGCAAGACTCTGTCTCAAAAAGAAACAAAACCCGTCCACTGGTTTCTCATCTCAGAGTAAAAGTTCTTGCATTGGCTCTACATGGCCCTGCACACTATCTGCCTCTTCCCCTTCTGATTCATCTAGCTGCCACTTCTTTGCTTCCCTAACTCTGTTCCATCCACAGCAGTTCTGCCTCAGGACCTTTGCATTTGCCATCTCCTCTGTCAGCTTCAGTTCCCGATGCCGAAATGGATCTCCATCACCTTCATATTGAAGCTCAACTGTAACATCAGCAAGGCTTCCTGCAATCCCCTACTTTACTAGTTCAGCACCTCCCACCACCACACCCCCTGGAAAAATTTCCCCTCACTTCCTTAATTTCTTCCATAGCACAACTCATCAGCATCTGAAATTCTACACGTATTTATGGTTTATCCCCTCCGAGTAGAATGTGAGCTCATTGAGGTCAGGGAATTCTGTTTTCTTCATGATATCCTCAGCACCTAGCATATATTTGAGGTTCACATACTGACCAAACGAATAAAGGAATATGTTAATTTTTAAAAAAAGTTGAGTTATTCTTCCACCTTCATCCCCATAGCCCCTTATCTCAGTTCAGACCTCATCCCTTCTCCAGGATCACTGAGGCAGCCTTCTCACTGTCCTCCCAGCCTCCTGTGTCTCCCTACTATCCCTTCTCCACATTGCAGCAAGACAGCTCTAACTAAAACATTAATGTGATTACTGTTATTTTTTTCTTTTTTGTAGAGATAGGGTCTTACCATGTTGCCCAGGCTGGTCAACTCCTGGGCTCAAGTGATCCTCCCACCTCAGCCTCCCAAAGTGCTGGGATCACAGGTATGAGTCACTGTGCCTGGCCAATGTGATGTTTTATCTTAAAATTCTTCATGGGAAGGGAAAAAAACCCTTCATAGGCCGGGCACAGTGGCTCACGCCTGTAATCCCAGCACTTTGGGAGGCTCAGGCGGGCAGATCACGAGGTCTGGAGTTCGAGATCAGCCTGACCAACATGGTGAAACCCTGTCTCTACAAAAAACAAAAAAATTAGCCAGGTATGGTGGCGCATGCCTGTAATCCCAGCTACTAAGGAGGCTGAGGCAGGAGAATTGCTTGAACCCGGGAGGCGGAGGTTGCAGTGAGCCGAGATCATGCCATTGCACTCCAGCCTGGACAACAGAGGGAGACGCTGTCTCAAACAAACAAACAAAAAAACCCTATTACCCTAGGGATAATGTCCAACCCCTTCAACAAGAATCTCATTCCTTGTGACTTGGCCCTTGCCATGTAGTCACATCCCCCTTAACACTATACCCTTCAGCCAACTTCTCTCAAGCAGTGAGCCTTTGTTTATTCTAGTCCAGGACCTGACTTGGTGAAAACTTGCTAACTTTTCCAGCCTGAGTTCAGTGGCAATCAGCAACGCTGCTACTCATAAGCTGATATGCTCTTCCCACCAAGATCCCTCAGCCAGAACTTTCCTCTACCACAGCATTTATCACTTTTTTTTTTTTTTTTAACAGAGTGTCTCACTGTTGCCAGGCTGGAGTGCAATGGCGTGATCACGGCTCACTGCAGCCTCCACCTCCCAGGTTCATGCAATTCTCCTGCCTCAGCCTCCCAAGCAACTGGGACTACCCGCACATGCTACCACGCCCAGCTAGTTTTTGTATTTTTAGTAGACGGGGTTTCACCATATTGGCCAGGATGGTCTCAATCTCCTGACCTCATGATCTGCACACCTCAGCCTCCCAAAGTGCTGGGATTACGGGTGTTGAGCCACCACGCCCGGCCACATTTATCACTTTCTATCACTGTCTGCTTCCTGTCTGTTTTCCCTACCTGACCTTGTATTCTGTGAAAGCAGGGACCACTGGGTTTCAGGTATTTTTGTAATCCAGTGTCTAGTAATGAGCTTGGCACTTGGTAGACATTCAATGTTTTTGAATAAATGAATGAGGAGCACCCTCAGTCCCTGAAAACCCTTTAAGTATGCCAGTGCAGGGTAGTAGTTTCTCATGAAAGTACTTCTTTCCCACGAAAAAACCCCCAAACACCTGCCTCAAACACACAGCCCCACACTTAGCAGGAAGGGGACTTCACTTCCCAGCCAGCAGTTCAGTGAACATATGGTTTAACACTTCCACCCTATCCCACAGTTTCTCTTGAAGACAAAAATGATAGTTTCACTTTACAAGAAGTTCACTCTTATTCATGGAGGCATCATGCTGACAGGACTGGATCCAAGGAAAATGCTAGTGACTTTCCCAACTTCATTCCCCAATCAAAGAGGACAGTTTCTGGTTTGCCACTGGTGAGTTTATTACACGACTAAAGTTCAAATAAAAAAATAAAAACCAAAATCTTGGCAGGGAAGCTAGAGCCAGAATCAGGAAAATCTGCTTCCTTGTTCCCAGACTCCCTGGCCAAGCCCAGCTCCACTAACTCATCTTGACTCGATCAAGTTCCTCATCAAGACTTGCATCTGTACCCTGGACATCTCTGCTGCTCCCACTGGAGAGTGAGTCTGGAGTCCCTGGCACTGGGGCTTTGGTGAGGGCTCCATATACACCCATGGCCTGAGGAGAGGAACAGAGAGAATACCATGAGGACACTTGACAGAGGTGCAGCCCAGCCTACCAATGGCTAAACGGGAAAAGATGGCATGGGGGCCAGTAAGTTGGTTTTCCTTTCTCCCTCTCTCAAACCTGTCTTGTAAGCTCTGGAGTTGATTTTAGGAATCTTGCAAACCATCAGAGTAAAGTGACTCTCAGAATACCAGCACAAGTATCTACCAAAAAAAGGTATCTCAAGAACTTCCATATTTGCAGGACTGAGTGGAGATGTTTCATTCTTAGATTCCATCTCTACAAAGAATGAAGGGAGGTCTAGGGCCAAGGCACTCTGAAGACCTTTATGGTATGTAAGTGTTGATGACGGTGGTGGGGTCTCAGTTTGGTCCCTGGCACCAGTGCTCTATGCTGGGTCCTCAGAGAGCTCTAACCTGAGCCACCATGCTGGTGACATCGCCAGGGTTGGAGGGCAGTAGGATAGTGTTGGAGTCCTTGGCCAGTTTGGAGAACGCGCTGACATACTGCTCGGCCACAGTCAGTGAAGCTGCTGCATCTCCATTCTGTGATCACAGGGGGATAAAAATCAGAGATCACCGATACGGAGAAGAAGGGGGGGATGGGGAATGAAGAAAGCAGTTCACAATAAAAAGGACCATGTAATCTGGCTCAACAGAGCCCACAGAGGCGGAACTCTCCTCAAGCGTAGATAAGAGAACCCCTTCCACTGTCAATTCCTGTCCCCATTCCCACCCAGGGGCCTCTCACATGTTGTGTCAGAGCTGCAGCCAGGATTCGAATAGCTTCAGCTTTAGCCTTGGCCTTCGCCAGAACTGCACTGGCCTCTCCTGCAAGAGAAGGGACAGAGCTTGCTTGACCCATGAAGTCAAAGTACCCCAAAGATCCTGCCCCAGCACCAATCTTCAAAGGCCCATGCCTTGCTCCTCCCTCAGCCTCTACCCTCTCCTGACCTGCTGCCTGATTTATCTGTTCAGCCTTTTCTGCTTCGGAGGCCAGGATCTGGGCCTGTTTCTTCCCTTCTGCCACATTGATGGCCGACTCTCGGGTCCCCTCAGACTCTAGAACTGTGGCCCGTTTCCGCCGCTCTGCCTCCACCTGGAAGCCCACAACAATCCCAATCAACAAGCCAAGGGAGACTGATACAGACATGCAACTCTACCCATCATAACAGGAGGGAAGTCTGGATCCTCCTGGTACTGGAGCACCCTGAGGCCCTTTTCCCACCCCTCCTTGGCCCCCACCTGCATCTGCATAGACTCTTTCACCCGGGGTGGCACATGGATATCCTTGATCTCATAACGGAGGCAGCGGATACCCCAGCAGTCAGCAGCTTGGTTGATGGCATCCACAATGCTGGCATTCAGGGACTCCCGTTCCTGGAAAAAGAGGTGTAAGCCCCACAGCCTCAACCTACCTATCAAGGGCCTACACTGAGAAGGGCCTGGGACTGATCTTGACCTTCAGAAAAGATTAAGAGTGTCAGGTTTGTGTCTTCAAACCCTAACTCTGGCTCAGATCTGCTTACCCGGAAGACTTTGTCCAGAGAGAGTTTGCCGAGCTCTGATCTCATGGTTGTTTGAGCTAGCTGGGTGACGGCATACTCAGGGTCCTCCACACCGTAGCTTGCCTGAGATGGACACGGATAGTGTAAGAAGCTTGGGCACAAGATTTTAGTGAAGAGGGCAACTCAAAAGGCTGGATAAAGTAGGGGACAGGTACCTTGTAAGGGTCCATGATGCGCAGGTAAAGGACTCCATCGATTTGCAGAGTTACATTGTCTGTAGAACCAGGAGAGAAAACGGGGAAAGTCAGGCCTCTAGGTCCCAACCAGTTCTTTCTACTAAGCTCTGGATCTACAGCAACCACATCCTAATAGCCTCAGAGCACCCATGTCACCCTGAACCCCTCACCGAGAGTCACAGCCGACTGCTCAGGCACGTTGATGACAATTTCCTTGAGACTCTGCACATATCGGATCCGGTCTAACACAGGGATGAGGATGTTCAAACCCTGGAAAGAGGAGTCATGGGTCCTCAGAAGGCTGGGAACTATTGGGTTGGGACCTAAGCTAGTCCTGGAGTATGTAGGGAGTCAACACATGGAACATGCCCAGAAAAGCAGCAGCTCCTACCAAGAAATAAGTCCTCAGAAGGCTGAGGTGTCACTGGTAAGAAAACCCAAGAGAACAGGAATGCAAGACTAGGCCCCTGAATGGAGGGGAGAGTCATGAGAATCGGAGCCAGCAGAATAGCCATCTCTATGCAGACTGAGAGGTAGGGCTGAGAGTGGGCAGGGGAGATTCCCAAGAATGGGGCCTGTGAGATGCATAGGAAAAGGTGGTAACATGGGGATGATGGTCAGCAGCCTGGGCCCTGTCAGGTCTGGCCTACAGAGTCGGGAGCTAACAGTGCGGGCAGGCCCAAAGGAAGTCCTCCCGACATTGCATGTCGTGAGGGATTGGTCATCTGGCTGGCCCAGGGTGGGCAGAAGAGGTTTCTCACAGGCTCCAGGATCCGGTGGAATCGGCCCATTCGCTCCACCACCCAGGCCTCCTGCTGCGGCACGAACAGTACCACGGTGTTTCGGGGCAATCCAGAGGAGGCGCGGCGCGGAGCGCGGCCAGAAGCCAGTAGAGAGCCCTGAAGGAAAGAAGAGGGTGAGCAGAGATCCCATCTGGCCAGACACGCCGCCCCTCGGTCCTGAAGGCATCTCCATAAACCACGACCCTCAGGATCCTCGGAGAATCACATGGGGACCATGACCTCTGACCCCAGTCCTCTCCAAAAGTTGGAATTTCGCTCTTTTCCAGCGGAGAACCCAGGTAATCTCTGTCCTGACCCTCTGGAAAGGTTGCCTCGCTCTCACCCTCAGCAAAAGGGCCCCAGTGCCCCGCGCCGCGCGCGCCAGCATTTCCCACCGCCGCAGCGACCTCCGGAACCAACGAGACGAGCGGAGCGGTCGCTCCCAGAAGCCTACCCGAGCCTTTCCTCTTGCAGTTCCGCTCCCCCGGATGTACTTCCGGCAGCTCCCTCCCCCGCTTCAACACTCACCCAATCAGCGTTACTTGGTCGAACGGCGCGTCAAGTTGTTCCCTGGGAAACGCAGACCTTCTAGAGAAGGGCGAAGGCTGTGGTTGTTCTGGGTTTAGCTGTTCACGCCGAAGATCCCCGGCCTGATGGCCAAAATGGAGGCTATTTTTCGCGGGCATTATCACTCAGACACCACGCACTGAATTATTCGTCCTCACCCGAGACTCAGTTTGCCCACCAGAGCGTAGTATCGCCCCCATCTGTCACCATAGCGACTAGTGGATTGGAGCTGACTCGTTGCCATGGTTGCCATAGTGATATTCTCTGGTAGTCCCGCTGTGTTGTGCCCAGGACTCCCACTGGGGACTGACCCCAATCCCGTTGCCATGGAAACTGGGCCTAATATTGCCTGGCGATTGGGCCGAGATTTTCCCCTCCCCTCTTTCCTCAAAGACACTGCAGCTCCTTCCCTGTCTTCCCAAGCAAGGTTTGTTATGCCCGGTCTTAAATACAGTCCAGCAAACAGCCTCAACGTTCAACCTTGTCTGGAGCATGTCACCTTGCCCACATCCCTAATGCTCTGGTAGTCAAGAGACCTCCGTAGTCACCTCCATTTTACATATGAGGGCACTGAAGTTCTGAGGGGCTAAAGTCATTAATAGAACCAGTATTAGAATCCTGATCTACAATTCAGAGTTCAGCTTCTACGGCTGAACTTTACCCACCAACCCCTCCGAAAGGAGAAAAACCAGGCCCCAGGAATCAGCAGGGACTAGCCTAAGACCTCATGGGCCCAGGCCTGTTGCCTCTCTGGTAGAAAGGGCTGAGTCCCAGCTCCAGGAAGGCCCTCCATCCCCCTTCACACCCTCTCCCCAACAACAACAACAACAACAAAAGTAGAGCTTAGTTCAAGTTTCCAAACAAGAATTTATTCTTTCTTTTTTAATCTTTTTTTCTAAAAAAAAGTACCAGGTACAATTTTTTCCTGTTTTTGATTTGCTTTGTTTTTTCAAGTTTCAGCAAATGCTTGTTCCCCTCAGCCCAGCCCCAGGAGTTAGGACTGAGGCTGGGTCAGAGTCTGGAGTGGGGAATGGGGTAGTTTGGAACCACATGACTGAGTTTGAGGGGTGCCCCTCACCCCAGCTGAGGTAGGTGGGTCAGAGTCTGGCCAGGTGAGAGGAGGCACCCCAGTGCTTGGCCCTGACTCTGCCCCCTGGACACCTTCTTCAGTCAGGACCCCAAAACAAGGAGACACAGGTAGGAGGAGAGGGACAACTGGAGTCTGGAGCCCTAGGTGAGGGGTGGTTAACCCCTGTGTGTGTGCATACATGCACACTCACACACACATACCACACAAAGACAAGCTTGTGCACACACACATACGCATAACTTGGCTTTCAGAGATAGGTCAGAGGGTAGGGGAAGTGAAGGGACTGGGGAAGGACAGGGGAAGCTGAGTCTTTGGCTACTGACTCAGTCCCTCTGGAATAGCCCCTCTTCCCTCAGCTGAGGGAAAGCAGTTCTCCTCCTGCCCCCACCGCATAAGCCTCTTCAACTCCTGAGGTTGGAGCAATATCTGAGAGTGGGAAGCGGGGAGGAGTGATGCCAATTATCAGGTGTGGGAGGTTACCAAGGCAATCCAATTTGAATAAATTATAAATTAAAAATAAATAAAATAACAAGTGGCCCCTGCCCAGGACAGGGAGGCAACGCTGGCATAACTTGCCTGGGAACTTGAGAAAATCTCAGGGTAGCTCCAGTTCCTCCCTACTACCTAAGCTGGCCTGGGAAACCCAAGGGAGGGGACAGGCACATGGAGTACCCGAAGTAGGGCAGGGTGTAGTAAGAATCAGAAGCTTTAAACACCCAAATAATCCATTTGGGCGTGAGCATGGTGAGGGCTTTAATTCAAGCCTGAAGGGTCTCTTGCTGTCTCTCCATATATGTTCTCTAAGATGGAGCAGGATGGGCAGGTCATTAGCCCGCATGGGTTCAGAGTGCTGGCAATCAGGGCAAAGGTGAATAACGTGGATTATGAGGGGCCTCGGTCACAGCCTGCAGTTCGTAGGGGAGCCCTGTGTCCAGCTCCAGGCTCCGGCGGGAAAAAAGCAGGCGGATATCTCCATGCAGGCTTAAGCGGCCTGAGCGGGAGCTCCGGAACCTGGAGGAGGACAATGTGATCAACGTAAGAATCCAGGCTGGGTTCAGTGGCTCATGCCTGTAATTCCAGTGCTTTGGGAGACCCAGGTGGGAGGACTGCTTGAGCCCAGGAGTTGGAGACCAGCCTAAGCAACATAGCGAGACCCCATCTCTAAAAATAAATGAATACATACATATATATGTACATACATACATAAAAATTTAAAAATAAACTAAGCAAGAATCCGGACAGTATCGAAGCAAGGAGAGATCCTCTTCAGGGAGGGGATACCTGGGCCTCCCCAGCCATCCCTGGGCCCTCTCCTCACCTGAGGTGCAGCAAGTAGCAGAGGAGGCGGTGGGTGGGGTTAGCATTTCCCTCCTCACCCACAGGCACCAAAAAGAGGCGATGGCGCAGGAAGGTCATGTGGGCAGCAGGCATGTCCGAGAAGTCAAAGGTCACAAGGAACATCTTTACCACAGTCTGGTTGGGGTTAAATAAGGTCTAGGGACAGGACAGTCAAGGTTGGTAGGGCCTGAGGGCTGCTTTCCTCTCTCCCCACTCCCACTCCCTCAGGGCAAACTCACCACTTGGACGGTGCCCACCTTGGGCACGCTGTAACCCTTCCTCCCCAAGGGGTTCAGATCCACGATGCCCTGGAAGGCCAGGGAGCCATCAGTCAAGGTGGGGACTAGGAAAACCCTGGGCCCTAAACACATGTCCCTCTCCACAAGCTCTCACCCTGAACCTGCCCCTGCCCTACAGTAGAGTTCTCCTCACCTGGCCCTGACTCACTTCTAGGTGAGGAATAAGTAAGAAATACCTCTTGCCCCCTGGCCCCGCCCCCAAATCCTCATCCTCTTGATGAGCTGACTTTGGGGTTGGAGTCAAGGCATACCAGGAAGGGAGCCGGGGCATTTTGCTCAGAAACATCAAAGAATGTGACAGTGACAGGCAGCGTGACGTGCTGGGGGCAGTATGACCCACTAGCTCCAATTTCTGCTGTGAAGCCCTCAATGTGGCCAGATGGTGCAAAACGTCCTCGCAGCAATGATTCCTGGGATTAGGGTAGGGAAAACACATGAAGAGAGAGATGCCAATTCTTTTCCTTATCCATCCAAGCCACATTCCACCATCCCACCTCTCCCAGGACCCCGGCAATCACAAACCCCAACGGGAGCTACCTCAAAGTTGCCCAGCAGGGTACGGCTGACAGCAGGGGTAGGAACAGGGGAGGCACTGGGGGGGCTCAGCAGGCCTGGCCCCTTCCGGAGGCTTCGAAGGGGGCTCCTGGTAGAGGAAGGGAAACACAGGGGGTTGGCTTGAGGTATTCTGGGATTCCTGCTTATGCCCTTGGACTCCACCCTCTGCCACTATGTAGGGCTTCTGCCCTGGGGTCCCCTACTCGGATGCTGGAAAGAGTACAGACTTCTGCCCCCATTCTCAGGGACAGGGTAGAGGAAAAAGCTGGTCACTTACAGCTTCAGGCGACGGGCTCCTTTCAGCCTCCGCCCCATGGGACCGCAGTCTGTTGGGTCCTACGGAGAGAAATGATTGGGAAAAGACACAGGGTGAAGGCCATGTATGTTTTGGGGCAGAAGCTCATCACAAACTCTCAAAGGAACACCCTGCCCCCCAGGCCTCCACCTTTACCCACACAAATATCCACTTAAGAGTACATGAAGGACAGGCGCAGTGGCTTGAGCGCCTGTAATCACAACACTTTAGAAGGCCAAGGTGGGTCGATGATTTGAGCTCAGGAGTTCGAGACCAGCTTGGGCAACATGGCGAAACCCCATTTCTACCAAAAATACCAAAAATTAGCTGGGTGCAATGTCATGTGCCTGTGGTCCCAGATACTTGGGAGGCTGAGGTTGGAGGATCCCTTGAGCCTGGGAGGAGGAGGTTGCAGTCAGCTGAGATTGTGCCACTGCACTCCAGCAGTGATGGAGTGAGATCCCATCTCAAAAAAAAAAAAAAAAAAAAAAAAGTAAAAAAAGAGTAAATGAGGTCCTTTATTGGCTTACCAAAACAGGCTCTTTGGGCCCAGGCAGCAGGTGGCTCCAGAAGGGTGTGGCTTTGGCATCAGAACTGTTGGCAGCAGTAGGGTGGCCCAGGGATCCCCGGCGCCTCCGAGGGGCTGGCCCCTCTTCCTCAGAGCTGACATCTGGGGCTTCTCCAGCAGGAAGCAGCCTTCGCTTGGTGGGGCAGGGGCCTGGGGGTCCAGGGCCAGGGGGTGTGTGCTCGGGACTGTGCCCATTGGCAGTGCCAGGGGACTCCCTAGGCCAGAGGCTACCCCCATTGCCCACCCCAGCCACTGGGCTCTTACCCCCTATTTGTGCAAGACTGTGCAAATCAGTGTCAAGTGTGTGCAGCTGGCCTGGAGGGGCTGGCCCTGGGGACTCCCCCAGGGACCCCTGTCCCCCTGGATCTGGGGAGGCCCAGTCTCTGGTGTGCAAAGTATTGCAGGAAGCATTTGATGGGGGGCAGGGGGGACTCCAGGCCCCCGAAGTCCAAGATGAGGTGACACTACTTCTCTGTTCCACAACACAGAGGCCACGGTGGGAGAAATGCTGGCTGGCCACACCTAGTCCCAGCCCCGGTCCCTCTGGGCCTAAGAGCCCCACAGTAGATGGTTCTTCAGGGGGTAGTCCCTCTCTGGCCCCCAGCCCAGGGCCTCTCTTCAGCTCCCGGGGACCCTCAGTGGATGGGGCTTGTCGTTTCAGGGCCCTATGAGGCTCAGAGGTACCAGCCGGAGGGGAAAAGATGGATACCTGGTAGACCCCGGGGGATGTCGCCCCCCCTGCTGGGCTGTAGCCCATGAGCAGGCCACCCTGGAGGGCCCCCTGCCTGACTGGAGGCTGTGAAGGGCCAGCCTCCGGCTCTGAGGATGGAGACGGCTCCGCCTGCACGTGGCGCATGAAGCCCCCCTTGGGTCAGGGGGGCCCCCCAACACGGCCTTTATGCTGGGCCTGGGCTGGGGGGCCTGGGGACATCTGTGTAAGAGAAGAGAAGAAAAGGTGGTCAGGGGAATCAATGAGTCTTCTTCCTTCCAGCTGAGTTTCAGACCCTCTCCTTGCCTAAAGGGGTGACTTTGATGGGTTCCCAAGGATGAATGTGTACAAATCCCTGGATGGACTAATGGAATATAGAGACCACTCTCAGAACTCCTGAGAGGGTGACAGGTTTAGCTCAGGCTTCTTACTGGACACACTTCCCCCTCTTCTCCCTGGTACTTACCCCGATGAAGAGGCCTCAAGCCTAGCTGTGCGTCCCCTCTTCCCAACTGATGCCTCGTGCCCCTAGCTTGCAGTCTGATCCATGCCTGCTGCACTGGCAAGGTGACTGCCACCATTCCGTGCAGCTCCTGAGCTCAGCAGGACCCTGAGGAGAGAAGAACAGACGTAAGCCAGGATCACTGGAGCCAGCGGTAAGGCCTGTCACCAATTATAGGCTAATAGTACACTCCAGGACATCCTTCTCCCATGTGAGAGGCTCTTCAGGAACAGAAAGGGTAGGCTTGGGGTCCAGGGCACAGATGGCAGAGTTGGGCTACCTAAGGAGTCAAAGAGGCAGGTCTTGGCTCAGTATAATAAGGATGTGACAAGTGAGTTGAGGTAGAATAACTACTTGTCAGGGCCACCATTTGAGGACTCCTGCCCTACATGGAGGAAGGGATGAGAGACCCCCAAGATCCAAGAGACCGTGTCAGCTGAGAGGCGGCCAGGGGAAGAATTCAGCTTTCTTACTCAAAGCCACCAAATTGCACAACTCCTTCTTATATGTCTATCTCCAAAGGGACAAGTGCCATCCTAGGGCACTAAGGGCAGAGGTCTCCCACACAGTTATACCCCATCAGCGGTCCTCAGAGGTACAAATTTCAAGTCAGCTCAGAGCTGGCCTTTCAGCCCTGAACTCCAAATTGCCTCCAGCAGCCTGTCTCTTTAACAAGAGGCAACAAATCCGACCAAAAACAAGAAGGGGAAGGGGAAGGGGTCACTGCCAGAAGGCACTTTCCAGGGCCCTCCCGCAAGGCCCTGCAAACTAGAGATAAGGCCGCAGCAGTCAGTCAGCTGGAAGCAACTAGGGAGTACCTCTCCACGCCCCTCCCCCAGTGCTCACACACCCAACACCAAAACCCCAAACCACGGGTGCATAAGATGGTCTTCACTAACTATTCCAGCCCATACTAGGGTGAGGGGAATGTCAAGTTGAAAGCCAGCTGCCCCCAGGGTCAGCCTTCTCTTTTGCTGTCTGACATTCACGGTGCTCTTTCCCCTTCAAGAAGTGCCCTTTGAATGCCTACCCAAGACTTTTCCTCCTTGGATAGGTCAAATGCCATCTCCTCCAGAAAGTCTGCTCTGTCCACCCCAGACCATAAGCATCTCTCCCTTCTCTGAGACCTCACCTATGGCAGTGTTACTACTTCCTGTAAGCTCACTAACAGTTCTGCTCACTCCTGTGGGTAAGGCATCTTCTAGACCGACCATAGAGTTCCTGAGGACAGATCTGTGTCCCACCCCTCCATCCAACCCCAAGTACAGGGGTAAGCACACAGCAGGGCTCAAAAAAAGTAGAATGCAAGTCCCAGACATCTGAGCAGCAGTCCTGAGAGTGGAGAGAAAAATTTCCCAGATGAGAGAAGCAGAGAGATTAATTGTACAAGGGAAAATCAGGAACAGAGGTGGGGGTGGGGAGCAGGCAGAAAGGAGAGATTTGTACCCAGGGACTGAAAAGCTCTCCTACACCAAGTTCCCATCATTGTACCCCACTATCCCATTTCACCAAATTCTCCTAAGAATTGGGATCCCTAAGAAAATCCTGGTTCCCTGTGGTGGGCGGGATGGCTGGAAAGGGCAGAACACCAATCGCAACCTGCACTATCCTACCTGCAACCAACCTTGTCAGAAGGTACAACCTGCACTAATTTCTACCCTTCTTTCCTCCACCCAAGCCATACAGATTCAGGAGGGGCCTTTTCCCTAGCACCACCACTTCCAGGTCATCCCAGTTGCCCTCTTGACCCCTTGCCCTGGGGAAGCCAGGGGATGACATGATGCCCTACTTGACCCCAGCATACCTGGCATCTGCTTAT
Organism: Homo sapiens; assembly: GCF_000001405.40. NCBI lineage: Eukaryota > Metazoa > Chordata > Mammalia > Primates > Hominidae > Homo > Homo sapiens. Next base: position 35,110,449 of record NC_000009.12, read on the forward strand.
TAACCCCAGAGCCCTCTCAGTTCCCACCCTGTCAACAAGACGCTCTATATTCACTCCCCTGCCACCCAGCCAGTCTGGCTCTAGACCATGGCTTCAAGCTGACTCATGGGGCAGGACTGCAGGGGAGGGGGGCAGGGCAGAGTAGGCCAAGCCTCACTCTTCGTTCAGGGGGTGGGCAGCAGCTGGCATCAAACAGCTGTGCCAGGCTGTGGCTGGCAAGGACTACAGCTCCCAACATGCTGAGGGAGCAAGGCCAGCAAAAACAACAAGTCCCAGAATACGTCTGTACCTTTAGACACTTTTGAGGCCTGGGAGGTGGGTGAGGTGGGTATTGGTATAGGTATCAGCTTCAAGGCTCATTCTCCCCTTCCCTTCAGTATTAAAGATTTCCATTTCTACCATGATCAAGGAGAGTGACAGGATGAATTCCTATCCATGTGCTTTCCACCCTCATCCTATGCAAAGAGAACTGCTGCCAGCTGCTCTCTATTTTGTCCCTACATACATCCACACAAGCTAGGGGGGCTGTTCCCACGGACCACCACTGTGGGTAGGAAGGTCGACTTCTTCTCTCTTACCAACCCCTCGGCCCCCAGCCTAGAGCCCTCTATCTTCAGAGGGGAGAGAGCAGACCTTAGCAGACTCTCTAAACTAAGCCAGGCAGACTCACCTGACTCCTGGACTCCTTCTTCTGGACGATCCCTTACCCCCTGCCCAGCCTCCCAGGTCCCTTCTCACTCCTCTCCTCCCCACAGCCTGGGACAGGCCCCATACTATACTGGAGCTTCGGAGATTTGCTCTTTCCCTCTAGCACACTCACCCCGCTCCCAAATTGGCTCCGCGGAGGTGGCCGCTGCTCCGGGCCCTTCCGTCCCGTCCCGTCCCGGTCCCTCCCCTTGGTTCCCCGGTCCTCCCTGCCACGGGCCCCCAACCCAGACAAAGGGTGGCTCAGGCTGAGCCCTGCTCTGCTAGGCTCTTCGCTGTTCAGCTTCGTGTGCAACACTAGCGGGCCCTGGCGCCCGCAGCCCCCCAGCCGCTGCCGCGCCCCTCCCTGCGACGGTCCCTCCCCGGGGCCGCCCCGGCTCCGCGCCGCCGACTCCACTGCCCCTCTGACTCACAGGCCATTTCCTACCAGCTGATGGGGCCGCCCGCCCCGCCCAGTGCCCCACCACCCGCGCCGCGGCGGCCACGGCCGCCACGCCCCCCTCAGGCTACGCCCTCCCTGGAAAGCGACCATGCTCATTGGTCCATAGGAAGCCAGCCTCCCCGCGACCTCAAGTGCGAGGCACGCCCCCTCCAAGAGGCACACGCCTATTGGTCCATAAGGGGGTAGGCTTACCCAAGGTCGCTCCGCCCTTCTCCTTAACCCGACAGCTGCCGGAGTCCAAAGCAACACCCTGCCCTGCCATTTAACCCTTTCAAAGGCGTAGGCCTTCCACATCTTACCCCTCCGCCCTACTCCCCCGCCCTTCCTCCTTCCAGGACGGTTAATAGGAAGCCCGAGGGCTTTAAAGATACGGTTTGACAACCCTCAAAGTCTGCCTGCTGTCTATACCAGACCCCAGACCCCAAATACCTCACTCCCATTTGTCTTTCCCCACCTTCCAAACCAAAGCTTCAGAGCTGGAGAACTAGTGAAGCCCAGGAAGCTTCCTCCATGCCAGAGAAGAAAAAGGCCTGAGGTGGGACCCTATCTCCTTCCATGTTAAGAAGTGGTACTTTTCCCTCTGTTACTCTTAAATTGATGTTCTTTTGCCTTCTTTAGAGGAGCCCCACGGGTTCCTAAGATAGGGATACATTTTAATCTCAGGGACCAGCATTATTCTTTGTGCCTCTGAACTCCCTTTCTGAGATCAGCCTGCCAGCACTCTTTCTACTCACAGGCCCATGTTCAAGGAGACAGAGCATACAGGGAAGTGGGATAGGAGAGCTTCTGCCCAGAATGGGGGAAATGAGCCCAACTCTTGTGATGGAGCTCAACCCCATGACTCACAGCTCCCTCAAAACTATCCACCCTCCCACTGAGTCACTGGGCCCCAGCCCAGTTCAGACCCAGTCAAATCAAATGGCAGCAGAACCGGCATCCCTAACCCTTGTCCTCCTATTCTTTAAATGACCAGGATGGAAACCTTTGCAAGGATTGAGCATTCAAAGACACTTTCTAGAGGGTACTCTAGAGGTAAACTAAGAAAAGCAATAGTCCTGTCTACCCTGCCCTCTGCACTTGTCAGCAAGTCGGATAATTTGGGACTTAGGAGGCTTTTTCTCCCGGTCCTTCACAGAAGCAGGAGGCAAACACCAGAGCCAAAGAGGGAAAGTCCATTCTTCTACAGTTCAGAGGCCACAGAGAGCCCAAGGTCCTTGTTTCTGCCTTGCCTGTGCTGTGGACCCCCCAGGGCCCTGAGGTTATATCACTAGATAGTAAAAAGAGGCTCCTTCCTCTTCCCCCTAGTCCCTCAGTCCTAGACTTGGGAGACACAAGCAAGTAACAGTCCCTCTAAGCTCCCTTCTCCTTACCTCACCCTAGACCACCCTTTTCAAGAGGAAAACTCTGAATAAGAACCCAGTTCCCTTGGGCTGACTTCCTTGCCGGTTCCCTAGTGTAAGGAACAGGGTTAAGGAAATTTTCAATGCCCTTGTCAAAATTACAGTGTATCAATGTAAGAGCCTACTTGCCTTAATAAAAACTTACTAGGAAAACAGAGACGTAGAACACTGTAGGAAAAAAATAATCCCTTAGCAACCCCACCTTATTCTATCTTTCTGCCACTACCATAGGCCAGGCCTTGGTTACCTACAAAGGTCAGAGGACAATAGTTCAGGGTGAAGGATCAAAGATGTTCCAGGCCTCAGTGTACCCTGGGAAAGCAGCAGGGTACAACCAAGAGGACTTACCACCAGGTACGGTGGCTCACGCCTGTAATCCCAGCACTTTGGGAGGCCAAAGTGGGCGGATCACAAGCTCAGGAGTTCGAGACCAGCCTGACTAACATGGTGAAACCCCGTCTCTACTAAAAATACAAAAATTAGCTGAGTGTGGTGGCGCGCACCTGTAATCCCAGCTACTCAGGAGGCTGAGGCAGGAGAATCACTTGAACCCAGGAGGCGGAGGTTGTAGTGAGCCAAGATCGCACCACTGCACTCCAGCCTGGGTGACAGAGTGAGTGAGACTCCGTCTCAAAAATAAATAAATAAATAAATAAATAAATAAATAAATAAATAAATAAAGAGGCCTTACCTTCCTGCCCTAAATTTATCCTGCTTTATTTTTTTTTATATAGCGGTTATCACTACTTGACTTCTCCCTCCCCCTCCACAATTTCTTTCTCCCCTTAATAGAATGGAAGCTCCATGAGAGCAGCAACTTTGTTTCGTTCATGCTCATATTCCCAGAGCCAACATTAGTCCCTGGCAATGTTCAATAAACATTGACTGAAGAAAACAACAGGCCCTGGGCTGAGTGAACAGCAATCCGGCGATCTGGATCCTATCTTCTGCCCTTTCACTGTGACATCTGGGGAATCACAGTCTCTTTAGCCATAAATTTCCAAACCTGTAAAATGAGGTGTTTGTATAAACAATGACTGCTGAGGGCCTCTGCAGCTCTACAATTCTAATGACTGTTGTTCACTCATCTCCATATCAGAGGATAGCTCCAGGCATTCGAATGCTCTGCTGCCTGTACCAAAGCAGAAAGGCTATATCCTCCAGTCTCAGCACAGCAAACTGATGCCCTTTCTCTTCATGCCCCACCCACTCACACAAACCGCCCCAGTCCTGAGGAAGCTGGAGAGTCTGCCCTAGGCCCGCCCTCTCTGAGAGACTGTCTGGGAAGCAGTGTTGCCATAGCAATCAGCTCCTCCTCAAAAGGCTTCAGCCTGCCCTTTTTTACCCCACCCTACCCCAGGGCTTTGTCTGTCCTCAGCAGACCCACCCCCCTCCCCAGCCAGTCTCTCAGCTCCTGGGTGGTTGTGTGAGGAGGCTGGCTTGGGGCCCCTTTTAGCAACACTGTCACACTCATTTAGCCACTGTGTGGAACTCAAGCCTTTCCCACCCTCTCCCAGCCAGCCCAGGGGCAAAAAGAACTCTAGCACTCCATCAAATCCCCTCAGGGAAGCAGAGGAGCCCTCAAGAGAACTAGGTCCTAGCCTGTTCTGATAGTGCTTCCAAGCCTGGAGTGTGGGGAGCCACTCCCTCTTCCTCCCCTAGCTGTGGCTGGAACCTCACAACCCTTACTGGGTTCAGCTTACAGTCGTGGCCCACCTCTCAAAACAGACAGAAGACCCTCAATACTCCTCACCACTTCCCCCCTCCCACAGAAGCCCTAGCGTTCCCTACCCAGAAGGATAAGGGTGGGGAAAATCTGTTTGTGGCAAGTGGTTAAATGTGGCTACCAGTCACTTGGGGATCTATGCGAGAGACCTGGGTGGTAGTGGTGGGGGTGGGGTCTGAGCCCTGCCGCTGGTTACCAGGGTCTCTGGTCATTGATAACAAAGTACCGGGCAGGGCACAGCTCCTAGATGGGCAAGGGCCAGGCCAGGCCCTGGGGCAAGGAAGGAAGTGGGAAATGAGCACACCCAGAGCATAAGGGCAGGGCGGGGGAGGGGGGAGACAGAGACCAAGGCCGGCTCTGGGAGGAACAGGAACTAGGATGGGGGGTTGACAGGAACCCAGCGGGGGAAGGGTCCCCCGGGACCTCAGCTTAGGGAAGAAACCCCAGTCTCAGCTGGACAGATCCAAAATAGACTGAGGAGACATTCACACAAGCCCTAGTGACAAGCAGGGTCTGACTCCTCTCTGAGTGCCCAGGCCAGAAGGCGGAGTTAAAAGCTGAGCAGACAGGAGTGCAATAGATTGGCCTCTTCACCCCACTAACCCCAACACCCTTGCTCTTAGAACCCAGAACACAAGTGTCTTCCTGTAGTTACTACAATGCCCTAAACTGTTACTTTGTCAAAGTACTGGGGGTTCTGTTCTCCTGCCTCAAGTTGGGCCTACAACCCCTTCCCCTAGATAGTGCCCGCAGACCCTCCGACACCGCTACACTCCTTCTCCATTAAACAGCCCCCCTTCCTTCAAAGCACCTCCATGTCCCCTGCCCCTCATGTACCTCCTCCAACCCCCCACATCAGACAGAGACAGCCCCCTCACAATGTACCTCGCAACCCCCCCACAACAAAGCGCTCCCGCCCTTCCCCCATAGAGGCCTCTGGAGAATGCACCTTGTTGCCCACACATTGAGTCCCCAACTGCTCCCGCGACTTCGTATCTTCCCTCAACACACAGCAGTCTCCAGATCGTCTGCAAAGCGCACCCCCATCCGCGTCCCTTCTTCCACGCTCACCCTGCCCCACACCTGTAGTTCCGTGGGTCCCGTTGCACTTGGGGACGTGGTAGTGGTTGGGGCAGTTACTGAGCAGCCCTAGCTGTAGCCTCCGCCTGCAAACCTCGCCCCTTCAGTCTGAGCCCCGCCCCCGCAACGCCCGGGCCCACCCTCTCCCTTGTCCCACCTTCCACCTTCTGTGGACTTGTCCCTTTCCTCGTTTAATTTCTCGAGCTCCTCCCCTGTAGCCCGGGCCCCGCCCCCTTCTGACCTCGCACCTCCTTCGCGTTTTCTTTGCATTTCCCCAGGATCCTCAGCTTTTCCCAGGCCCCACCCCCGATCCCCGCCTCCTCTCGGTCTCTCCGCCTTTCACCAGGACCCGCCCCCTCGGATTCCAGCCTGGCAGAAGTCGCGCCAAGACCCTTCCACCACGATCCCCCTCCCATCTCAGAGCCCCTCCTCCTTCCGCCCCTTCTCCCTCACGCCTCACCCGGGCGGTCGCACTCCAACCAGGATCCGCTGGCTCTGATTGGCGGTGGCGGCCCCAAAGGAGGAAGGAGGAGACAAAGTGATGGTCGCAGGTCGCCTGAGGTCCCACCCCGGCCACGTGCGGCTTCTGTGATGACAAGTCTAGAGGGGCGGGGCCTCGGCCGGCAGGCTGCTAGCCTGAGCGGAGCGGATCAGGGCAGAGGTGGGGAGATGGAGCCAGGGCCAAAGCCACCAGCCTGAGGGCTCTGAGCCGGGTTGGGGCTATCTCGCTGCTTTCGCACCGGTGTGAGCTGCCGCCGGAACTCTAACCTCTTTGTAGGGATGTCTGGGTGGGCGCGTGCATTTGCACTAATAGGGGAGGTCCGTAGGGATTGCAAGGTAGTGCAAGGAATCTCAGGGGTCTGTGAAAATGAGGGAATCTGGGCGGTGGGGTTCAGGTCTGCGAGGTTGAGCAGTTTCTGAAGCCTACGCTGTGCAGGCGGGTGTGGGTTCTGGGATGGGATGGACAGTAGGAGTCAGATCAGTACCTACTGAGGCAGGTCAGCGAGATCTGTGAATTTTACGAGATGAGTGTTGATATGGAGTTAGGAGGGCCTGCAATTGCTGGAGAAAAGTGAGGCCTTTCCCTTGTACAGGTGTCTAATGAACTGCATGACAGTTACATATGTTCTGCAGTTTAAGCGGCGCCCTCTCCAACCTCTCCCCAGGAGATACAATAAGGGAGGGCGACGCTTCCCAGACACCGGTAGATGGCAGCACAGGACACTTGCAGAACTGAGACAGCCCAGCTCAGCGCCGATCTGTGGCCTCTCCGAGGAGCGGACCGTTTGGGTCTGGATTTGATCAAGTTCTACAAAAGTCACATTCTTTTTTATTTTTTTTTGAGACGGCGTCTCGCTCTTTCGCCCAAACTGGAGTGCAGTGGTGCGATCTCGGCTCACTGCAACCTCCGCCTACTGGGTTCAAGCAATTCTCCTGCCTCAGCCTTCAGAGTAGCTGGGATTACAAGCGCGCGCCACCAGGCCGGGCTAATTTTCGTATTTTTGGTAGAGACAGGTTTCACCATGTTGGCCAGGCTGGTCTCAAATTCCTGACCTCAAGCGATCCGCCCGCCTCGGCTGCCCAAAGTGTTGGGATTACTGGCGTGAGCCACAGCACCCGGCCAAATCTCAGATTCTTTAGGCTCTGTGACTTTGTCAGTAGTTAACTTAAACTGGTTTACTCAACGTCAGTGGTGTGGAAGCGCAAAAAAAAGAAAGAAAAAAGTATTTTCTCTGGCCATAAGGAACTTATTATTTAGACAGTGATACAAATGCCTACATAATCCCAGAAGGGTAAACTAAGAAAGGTTTTGGGTAGTGGGAAAACCACAGAGTTTGAAGTCATCTAAACTTCTTCAACTTCAACTTCAAACTTCAACTTATGGGTTCAACTTATGAGTTTGTCTCATACCTTTGAGTATTTACTAGCTGTATAGATTTAGGTAAATTATTTGACTTTAAAAAATTAATTTTAGAACAATTTTAGATTTACAGAAAACTTGTAAAAATAGTGCAGAGAGTTTTCATATATACCCTACACCTAGTTTCTCCTATTATTAACATCTTTCCTTATATGGTTCATTTATTACAATTAATAAGCCAATATTGATACATTAACAATAACTAAAACCCACACTTTATTCTGATTTTCTTTTTGTTTTTTTGAGACGGAGTTGTCGCTCTTTCACCCAGGCTGGAGTGCAGTGGCAAGATCTCGGCTCACTGTAACCTCCACCTTCTGGTTTCAAGAGATTCTCCTGCCTCAGCCTCCCGAGTAGCTGGGATTACAGGCATGTGCCACCACGCCTGGCTAATTTTGTATTTTTAGTAGAGATAGGGTTTCTCCATGTTGGTCAGGCTGGTCTCGAACTCCCGACCTCAGGTGATCCACCCGCCTCGGCCTCTCAAAGTGTTGGAATTACAGGTGTGAGCCACCGCGCCCGGCCTATTCTGATTTTCTTAGTTTTTGCCTTATGTCCTTTTTCTGTGCCAAAATCTAACCCAAGCTGGAACATTACATTTAGACATCATGTCTCCTTTGGCTCCTCTTGGCTGTGACAGTTTTTCAAACTTCCTTGTTTTTGATGACCTTAACAGTTTTTGTTTTGTTTTGAGACAGAGTCTTGCTCTTTCGCCCAGGCTGGAGTGCAGTGGCACGATCTTGGCTCACTGCAATCTCTGCCTCCTGGGTTCAAGCGATTCTCCCACCTCAGCCTCCTGAGTAGATGGGACTACAGGTGCATGCCACCACGCCGGGCTAATTTTTGTATTTGTAGTAGAGACAAGGTTTCACCATATTGCCCCGGATGGTCTTGATCTCCTGACGTTGTGACCCACCCGCCTCAGCCTCTCAAACTGTTGGGATTACAGGCATGAGCCACTGTGCCCGGCCGTTTTTTTTTTTTTTTTTTGGTTGTTGTTGTTTTATTTTGAGACAGAGTTTTGCTCTTGTTGCCCAGGCTGGAGTGCAATGGCGCAATCTTGGCTCACTGCAACCTCCGCCTCCTGGGTTCAAGCGATTCTCCTGCCTCAGCCTTCTGAGTACCTGGGATTACAGGCATGTGCCACCACGCCTGGCTAATTTTGTATTTTTTGTAGAGATGAGGGTTTCTCCATGTTGGTCATGGCTGATCTCGAACTCCCGACCTCAGGTGATCCACCCGCCTTGGCCTTCCAAAGTGCTGGGATTACAGGCGTGAGCCACCGCTCCTGGACTAGTTTTGTTTTTTAAGAGACAGGGTCTCATTCTGTCACCCAGGCTGAAGTACAGTGGTGCAATCATAGCCCTTGTAACTTTGAGCTCCTGGGCTCGAGGGATACTCCTGCCTCAGCCTCCAGAGTAGCTAGGACTACAAACACATGCTACCAAAAAAGAAAAAAAAATTTTAATTTTTTATTTTTTTTAATTTTTTATTATATTTTATTTTATTTGAGATGGAGTCTCGCTCTGTCACTGAGGCTGGAGTACAACGGTGTGATCTCAGCTCATTGCAACCTCTGCCTCCCAGGTTCAAGTGATTCTCCTGCCTCAGCCTCCTGAGTAGTGGGATTACAGGCATAAGCCATCACACCTGGCTAATTAATTTTTGTATATTTAGTAGAGACAGGGTTTTATCATATTGGCCAGACTGGTCTCAAACTCCTGTCCTCAAGTGATCCGCCTACCTTGGCCTCCCAAAGTGCTGGGATTATAGGCGTGAGCCACCAGCGCCTGGCCTTTAATCTTCTATTGTAGAGATAGGGCTTGCTAGGTTGCCCATACTGGTCTACAACTCCTGGCCTCAAGTTATCCTCCTGCCTCAGCTTCCCAAAGTGCTGGGATTACAAGTGTGAGCCAGAGCACCTGGCATCATATTGCAGTCTTTAAAAAAAAAAAAAAACAACAGTGGTAGCTAAGCAGTCTGAGTCTTTATTTTTCTACAAGATTTTTAGAACTTCTTTATGAAATACTTGAGGCATACAGGAAGCTCTAAAGAATATTATAACAAATACCCATATTCTGGCCAGGTGTGGTGCCTCACACCTGTAATCCCAACACTTTGGGAGGCTGAAGCAGGTGGATCACTTGTGGTCATGAGTTCGAGACCAGCCTGGCCAACATGGTGAAACCCCATCTCTACTAAAAAGACAAAAATTAGCTGGGTGTTGTGGCACATCCCTGTAGTCCCAGTTACTCGGGAGGCTGAGGTGCGAGAATTGGTTGAGCCTGGGAGGCAGAAATTGCTGTGAGCAGAGATTGCTCCACTGCACTCCAGCCTGGGTAACAGAGCGAGACCCTGTTTCCAAAAAAAAAAAACAAAAAAAAAACATTTTTATCACATAGCTTTACCAAATCTTAATATTTTACATTTACTTCAAGTTCTCTGTTAAAGAAATTAGTATTTCAAATAAAGTTGTAGCCCTCACATACTCCTCTCTAATCTCATTCCCTTCTCTTCCTCCCTCTTCACTTTTTGTTCCCAGAGTTGACCACTATCTCAAATTGGTATTTATTTTTCCTATTAAAAAAAACTAGGCCAGGCACAGTGGCTCATGCCTATAATCCCAGCACTTTGGGAGGCCGAGGCAGGTGGATCACCTGAGGTCAGGAGTTCTAGACCAGCCTGGCCAACATGGTGAAACCCCGTCTCTACTAAAATAAATACAAAAATTAGCCTGGCGTGGTAGCAGGCACCTGTAATCCCAGCTACTGGGCATAGTGGGGGCCGAGGCAGGAGAATCGCTTGAACCCGGGAGGCGGAGGTTGCAGTAAGCCGAGATCACGTCAGCGCACTCCAGCCTGGTGGACAAGAGCGAGACTTCGTCTCAAAACAAAAACAAACAAACAACAACAACTGTGATTGATGTACATGTATTTCTACTGGGTATATACCTAGGAATCGAATTGCTGAGCTACTAGTCATGTGTATGTTTAGCTTCAGTAGATATTGCCAATATGTTTTCCAAAGAGATTGTTACTGTCAGGCCTGAGCCCAAGCTAAGCCATCATATCCCCTGTGACCTGCAAGTATACATCCAGATCACCTGAAGCAACTGAAGATCCACAAAACAAGCGAAAATAGCCTTAACTGATGACATTCCACCATTGTGATTTGTTTCTGCCCCACCCTAACTGATCAATGTACTTCGTAATCTCCCCCACCCTTAAGAAGGTTCTTTGTAATTCTCCCCACCCTTGAGAATGTATTTTGTGAAATCCACCCTCTGCCCACAAAACATTGCTCCTAACTCCACCACCTATCGCAAAACCTATAAGAACTAATGATAATCCCACCACCCTTTGCTGACTCCTTTTTTGGACTCAGCCTGCCTGCACCCAGGTGAAATAAACAGCCTTGTTGCTCACACAAAGCCTGTTTGGTGGTCTTTTCACACGGATGTGTGAGACACTTAGATTTTGAATTACTTATTTTCACATATTGTAACTAAAATGTCAGTTGGCGTTACCCTTTCTTTTTGAGATTAAATAAAATTGCATGTAATGTTTTACCTCACATTAAATGGGAAGTCCAGTGTCATCATAGATCCTTTTGTGAATTCTAGGATTGAGAAGGAGCTTGATTCCTCTTGACTGTTGACCATTTTTGCTGGCCCTTGCTGAATTTACAATTCACTGGTTTCACCCCTGCAGCTGTTCTTTCTCTCTTTCTTTTTGATTTTTTGAGTCAGGGTCTTGCTCTGTTACCTAGGCTGGAGTGCAGTGGCACAATCATGGCTTACCACAGCCTTGAATTCCTGGGCTCAAGTGATCCTCCACCACCACCTCCCAACTAGGTGGGATAACAGACATGTACCACCATGCCCTGCTAAGTTTTTCTGTTCTTTTGTAAAAATGAGGTCTCACTATATTGGCCAAGCTGGTCTTGAACTCCTGGCCTCAAATGATCCTCTTGCCTCTGCCTCCCTAAATGCTGAGATGACAGGTGTGAGCCACTGCACCTGGCCCCTTTCTTTTTTTCTCTCTCTAGCCTAGAAATATAATTATTTCTTTATTTCCTGCCCTCCCCAAATTTCTTATGGAAGGCATCTGTATGAGTAGCAGGCATTACCGAATATTTGGGGGTAATATAAGGAAAAAATATACCTATATAAACAAGTCAAAATTGAATATTTGGACATCAATGTTCTTTAAATATGTGTGTGTATATATATTTTATTTATATATATATTTTATATATATATAAAATAGATATAAAAAATATGGCTTTTTTTTGAGACAGAATCACGCTCTGTTGCCTAGGTTGGAATGCAGTGGTGTGATTCCAGCTCACTGCAACCCCCACCTTCTGGGTTCAAGTGATTCTCCTGCCTCAGGCTCCTGAGTATCTGGGATTACAGGTGCCTACCACCACACCCAGCTAATTTTTTGTATTTTTAGTAGAGATGGGGGTTTCGCCATGTTGGCCAGGCTGGTCTCGAACTCCTGGCCTCAAGTATTCCACCCACCTAGACCTCTCAAAGTGCTAGGATTACAGGCATGAGCCACTGCACCCGGCCATTCTTTAAATATATTTTATTTGTTTGTTTGTTTTCCGAGATAGAGTCTTGCTCTGTCACCCAGGCTGGAGTGCAGTGGCACGATCTAGGCTCACTGCAACCTCTGCCTCCTGGGTTCAAGCAATTCTCCTGCCTCGGCCTCCCAAGTAGCTGGGATTACAGGTGCCCGCCACCACGCCCAGCTAATTTTTGTATTTTTAGTAGAGACGGGGTTTCACCATGTTGGCCAGATTGGTCTCGAACTCCTGACCTCATGATCCGCCTGCCTTGGCCTCCCAAAGTGCTAGGATTATAGGCATGAGCCACGGTGCCCAGCCTCTTTAAATATTTTTAAAAGTCCTTCAGCCATTCCATAATATAACTTTCCAAGAGGTTCTCTTTGTCCGCTGCCTAGACAGAGCAGATTTCTCAAAACAGGGGAACTGCAATAGAGAAAGAGTAATTCACACAGAGCCAGCTGTGTGGGAGACTGGAGTTTTATTATTACTCAAATCAGCCTCCCCAAATATTCTGGGAGCAGAGTTTTAAGGACAACTTGATGGGCAGGGGGAAGCCAGTGAGCTGGGTGTGCTGACTGGTCAGGGATGAAATCACAGGGAGTCAAAGCTGTCCTCTTGCACTGAGTCCGTTCCTGGGTGGAGCCACAAGATCAGATGAGCCAGTTTATCCATCTGGGTGGTGCCAGCTGATCCATCAAGTGCAGGGTCTGCAAAATATCTCAAGCACTGATCTTAGGAGCAGTTTAGGGAGGGTCAGAATCTTTTAATCTCCAGCTGCATGACTCCTAAACCATGATTTCTGATCTTGTGGCTAATGTTAGTCCTACAAAGGCAATCTAGTACCCAGGCAAGAAGGAGGTCTGCTTTGGGAAAGGGCTGTTACCATCTTTGTTTTAAACTATAAACTAAGTTTCTCTCAAAGTTAGTTCAGCCTACACCCAGGAATGAACAAGCAGAGCTTGGAGGTTAGAAGCAAGATGGAGTTGATTAAGTTCGATCTCTTTCAATGTGTGTCATAATTTTGCAAAGGTGGTTTTAATATTTTTTACCCCTTTTCTTATTATTCTCACCCACGTCTCTCTATTCCCAGTACTTAATCACACCAAGTAATTTCTCCACACACATTTCTTCTAGGAGTTATATTTGCATATCAAAAAGGGTCACTTTTGCTGGGCAGGGTGGTTGACAACTGTAATCCCAGCACTTTGGGAGGCTGAACTGGGAGGGTCATCTGAGCCCAGGAGTTTGAGACCAGCTTGGGCAATATAGTGAGACCTCATCTCTATAAAAAATTAAAAAAATTAGCTGCATGGTTGCACGCACCTGTAGTCCCCTCTACTTGGGAGGCTGTATTTCAAATGGAGCAGAATTATAAATATGTGTCACTAAGGAGAGGCCTCAATTTTGCCTCAGGAGAGGCTGTAAAAGGCATAAGAACACTTGATACCTGCCCTGTTGCACCCTCTCATGATTTGGAATTACAGGCCACTAGCCTACAGGTATCAGGCTGCAAAGTACAAGCATACCCTTTGTATCTGTTTATTCCAAACCCCAGTGAACACCAGTTTAGCGCCCAGAATGGTTTGAGCAATTAAAGAATCCCGTCTTAATATTTGTTGGTAAACTAGCCCCAAATACATTATTGATTTTTTTTTTTTTTTGAGACGGAGTCTTGCTCTGTCACCCAAGCTGGGGTGCAGTGGTGCAATCTCGGCTCACTGCAAACTCCGCCTCCTGGGTTCACGCCATTCTCCTGCCTCAGCCTCCAGAGTAGCTGGGACTACAGGCACCTGCCACCGCGCCCAGCTAATTTTTTTGTATTTTTTTTAGTAGAGACGGGGTTTCACCATGGTCTTGATCTCCTGACCTCATGATCCGCCCGCCTCGGCCTCCCAAAGTGCTGGGATTACAGGCGTGAGCCACCGCGCCTGGACTACATTATTGATTGTAGCAGCCAAAAAAGTGTGTCCAAGGAAAATAAGCTTGCTTAAGACAATTTGCCTTTTGGTGATAACAGTTGCTTGTAGAGCTGAGGACATTGGGAGTGTAAGGATAAATAAAAGTTATTTTCTCCATTTATAAAGGGCAAATAAACCATTTCCTCTCTCTCCTTTCATTTTTTTCTCCTTTTCTTTCTTCCTTTCTTTTTCTTTTTTTTTTTTTTGAGTCAGGGTCCTGCTCTGTCACCCAGACTGGAGTGCAGTGGCACAATCATGGTTCACTGCAGCAGACTCAACCTCCCAGGCTCAAGGGATCCACTTGGCTCGGCTTCCTGAATAGCTGGGATGATAGCCCTGTGCCACTAAGCCCAGCTAATTAAAAATATATATATTTATTTTTTGGCTGGGTGCAGTGGCTTGTGCCCGTAATCCCAGCACTTTGGGAGGCCAAGGCAGGTGGATCACTTGAAATCAGGGGGTTGAGACCAGCCTGGCCAACATGGTGAAACCCCATCTCTACTAAAAATACAAAAATTAGCTGGGCATGATGGTGCGTGCCTGTAATCCCAGCTACTTGGGAGGCTGAAGCAGGGGAATCACTTGAACCCAGGAGGCGGAGGTTGCCTTGAGCTGCGATCGCACCATCGCACTCCAGCCTGGGCGACAGACCAAGACTTGGTCTCAAAAAAAAAAAAAAAAAAAATTTGTAGAGATGGGGTCTCACCATGTTGCCCAGGGCTGGTCTCAAACTCCTGGGATCAGCCTCCCAAAGTGTTGGGATTACAGGCCTGAGCCACTGCACCCAGACTCCTCTCTTAGAGTTCTTAGAGTTACTCCTTGGATACAAAATAAATTTGGGTCCTTACTCTAATATTTGGAATCTCTCTAGGGATTAAGCCTAGACTCCAGTTTTTACAATACGGATGTAACTCCAAGGTTGTGTGCCAAATGACCTCTAGATATGTAAACAAGGGTCTCTTGCTGGACGCACAGGAGATTTTTCAGGAGGCACAGTCCTTTGTCCCTTGAGGAGATATTGTTCTTTCTTCTGCTTTGCTGTATAAGTTATGTGCAATTTTGTCTTAACCTTGTAGTCATTTTCAGGCTACCTTACATGCATGTAATCTGTTATTGCTTACTCAATAAGAAATTACATTCTCTCACTCATCTATATTGACAGGGAGGAATCTTTTTGCGGCAGGATTATTTCATTTCCCCAAGAGCAATGCAATAGTCTGTTAAAAGAGAAGGCACCTGTAATCCCAGCACTTTGGGAGGCTGAGACGGGTGGATCACTTGAGGTCAGGAGTGCAAGACCAGCCTGGCCAACATGGTGAAACCACGTCTCTACTAAAAATACAAAAATTAGCCGGGCATGGTGGTGGTCACCTGTAATCCCAGCTACTCAGGAGCCTGAGGCAGGAGAATCACTTGAACCCGGGAGGTGGAAGTTGCAGTGAGCTGAGATCCTGCGATTGCACTCCAGCTTGGGTGATAGAGTGAGTGACACTCCATCTCAAAAAAAAAAAAAAAAAAAAAGCAATGATCTGAAGTGGATTTCCTTGCTCTTGATGAATGTGTGTTACCAGTACTGTTCAGCTGTTTTTTATTCAACAATTCAATGATGAATATGAAGTAAGTAAATTAGCCTCTATGAATAGTCTGCATGAAACAATTACAGGTGAAAATATTTTCAAAGAAGTTGAGAAAACACTAGTTCAGTACAACCAGAAGTGGAAATCTATTAAATTGTGTTACAACTGATGGTGGCAAAACATATGCAGAGCAGAAAAAAGTTTTAGTTCAAAAAATTTGCAAGGCTTCTTAAATTGTAATGTGTTTAATATTGTGAAAGGAAAATATCTTGGGCCCCCAAAATCACTAAGCTAAAGGAAAAATTCTAGCTGGGAACTGCACAGGGCAAATCTGCCTCCCATTCTATTCAAAATCATCCCTTTGCTCACTGAGATACACACATATTCTGTTTGCCTCCTTTGGAAAGTTTCATCAGAAACTCAAAAGAATGCAACCATTTTTCTCTCCACCTACATGTGACCTGGAAGCCCTCTCCCTGCTTCGAGTTATCCCCACCTTTCTAGACAGAACCAATGTACTTCTTTTGTATATTGATTGATGTCTCACATCTCCTTAAAATGTATAAAACTAAGCTGTGTTCTGACCACCTTGGGCATATGTCGTCAGGACTTCCTGAGGCTCTGTCATGGGAACATGTCCTTAACTTTGGCAAATAAACCTCCTAAAATGAGTGGGACTTGTCTCACCATTATTCTCGATTGACATCTGGTAGCCACAGAGGGATCCTGAGTGAAGGTGACCCGGCCTGTAGCAGCTTGCCTATTGGTGCTTGGTACTGGCTTGGGCACCTTATAGCCCAAACTGATAGGACGATTGCTGAAGTCTGGGACTTCTTTCCTCCAGGGATCCCTGATCTTCCAACGTTTTTCAGTTGGGGGCCTGAGATTTAATTGCCATTAATAAAACTCCTTTTTTGTGGGGAGTTTCCACTCACTTCCATCAAGAAAGGTGAGCCTGCCTGTTTCTCCATTGGCAAAGAGCAGTTTTCAGCTTGGGCCCCATCACTAGGTAAGATAACTGATTTGGGATTCTGTCTTGCAAATTCTTTTTAAACAACTAAAGTTAGCAATAACAACCAGTTGGTGTTAATTTCTGCTTACACTTACAGCGCTCAGAAATCATATAATTTTTGTGATCATTGTTAGTTTTGCCTGTTTTGTTGTCTGTTTATGTCTTTGTGTGTGTGTGTGTGTGTGTGTGTGTGTGTCCTTTCCCTTATTGAATTGGACTAACTCCAAACCTTCTAACTCATGAGTGTGGAATCTTCCATGCTGAAGAAATAAGAGCACCTTGCTCCCTTCAGCCTTTCAGGGCATTCTCAGGCAACTGAGAACCATGTGAGGGTGTCTGGGAGGAATACTCCCTAAGATGTGCAGCAGCTCTAAATAGGTTTCCCCTTAAGAAGAACATGCTTAGGGTCTAATCTCAGCTGGCAGGTGCATATAAGGAGCTGACCCCTCCTGCACCTTGAGCCCCTGACACACTGTGCCAGGTTGCCATGACACGGTTGGACTGATCCGGTTCAGGGGGTAAGAGCCCTGAAAAGCTAGGCCTGCAAGCAGCACATTTTGGGTCTGACACACGTCTTGACTTGGTCAAATCCAAAGGGGAACTCTAAATTATGGGGAACAAGGCCTCTGAAGTGGGAAGAAAAGAGCCAACAAAAGGAAAAAAAAAAAAAGAGGAAAGATTTTTAATGTTGACTACTAAAGAGGCTTTATTTACATAACGAGGCAACCTTTTTTGCCAGCCAGACCAAACTGAAAGAGTAATGGCTGTACTTCTGAAATAGCAGCATTTTGTCCTAGCTGAACTATGGTAATAAAATTAAAAAAAAAAATTTTAAGGACCTCAGTGGTTAAAAGTCAGCTTAATTAAAAGGCTAACATCCAAGATGTGTGTGCGTTGTTTGTATTTAAAAGGCCTTTACGTTTTTGTTTCTTTGTTTTGTTTGTTTGCTTCTTATTTGTTTTTCTCTCCTAGGACCTTGTCATTTTTTTTTTGAGCAAAAGTTTTTTTTTCTTTCTTTCTTCTCAGTTGACCGAATTCTGTTTTCACCTGATTTTTTTTTTTTTTACTGAAATAGTTGCAACAGAGTTTTTTCCCTTTTCTATTTTATTTATTTATTTATTTTTTTGAGATGGAGTCTTGCTCTGTCGCCCAGGCTGGAGTGCAGTTGCGCGATCTCGGCTCACTGCAACCTCCGCCTCCCGGATTCAAGCAATTCTCCTGCCTCAGCCTCTTGAGTAGCTGGGATTACAGGCACCTGCCATCACGCCAAGCTAATTTTCTTTTGTATTTTTAGTAGAGATGGGGTTTCACCATGTCGGTCAGGCTGGTCTTGACTCCCTGACCTCATGATCCACCCGCCTCGGCCTCCCAAAGTGCTGGGATTACAGGCGTGAGCCACCGCGCCTGGCTTTTCCCTTTTGTTAGAGAACCAGGACTCAGTGTGGACCCTGCCCGGAGCTCAGAGATTCAGTTAAAAGATAGGTAGTCCCTATCTGAATAAAATTGGTCTCCTTAGACAATCTCATGATAAATTTTCATAGTTTTATGTTTGATCTGGCTCAAAGAAAAATAAAAGTGTCTCCCTCTAGCACCACTAGACTTTTTCCTCTCTGGACTTTATGATGTAAATTTTGCTATTTAATTTTCACCTAAGTTGTTCTCTTTAATATGCAAATTTAAGGCTATTTAGCTGCCAACTACTTAGGGTTGTGAAACAGGTTATCAAAAATCTGCAAGTCTAAGATAGAAAAAAAGAGGGTCTTTATGAATCTATAAATATGTCTATGTATTTATGTGTCACATACACAATGTTTCACTACTAAAAATGTATAAAAGAGCTCTAATTAATTGGCTTAAAGAAAAATAAAAGTGCTTAAATCAAATGCATTATCAGGAAAAAAGAAAAGACTAATCAAATGCTTTTTCAAGTTTATGTAACTTAAATAAAATCTTTAATAAATAAGCTAGCTTTAACATTATTGGTAAAGTATGGCCGGGCTCGGTGGCTCATGCCTGTAATCCCAGCACTTTGGGAGGCAGAGGCGGGCGGATTATCTGAGGTCCACAGTTCGAGACCAGCCTGACAAACATGGAGAAACCCCATCTCTACTAAAAATACAAAATTAGCCGGGTGTGGTGGCGCATGCCTGTAATCCCAGCTAGTCAGGAGGCTGAGGCAGGAGAATGGCTTGAACCCGGAAGACGGAGGTTGCTGTGAGCTGAGATCGTGCCATTGCTCTCCAGCCTAGGCAACAAGAGCGAAACTCTGTTTCAAAAAAAAAAGAAAAAGAAAACATTATTGGTAGAGTAATATTAGAAATATCTTAAGAATGGCCAGGATACATTTTTGTTTGCATTTATGAATCAAGCAATTTCAAGCAAAACTTATCCCTGCCAAATACTATAAGATGTCAAAATTTGGCATAGGGGTTACAAAACTATAAACCCAGCTCAAAACAGAATGATCTATGTTTTTGCTTGTATAATTTTTAATAAAACATTAATATTGGTTTAATGACAATAACTACATCTTGAATTATTTAGTAAATTACCATAACTTCTAATCTTGTGCCTTTAGGCAGACTAGTCCGTGGGCCTTAAGGAGCTTTGTTTTGGGAAAGGACTGTTACTATCTTTGTTTCAAACCTAAACTATAAACTAACTTCCTCCCAAAGTCCGGGAATGAACAAGGACAGTTTGGAGATTAGAAGCAGGATGGAGTCAGCTAGGTCATATCTTTTTCACTGTCTCAGTTATAATTTTGCAATGGTGATTTCATAACTTTAAATCATGTCTATTGTAGTTTTCATAAATAATCTAAGTAAACAATTAAAATAATTAGGTGAATGTAATGGGCTGAATACTTGTAAACAAACTTGTCATAATTTAGAATCTTAAGTTATATTAAATTAAATAATAGGCCAGGTGCAGTGGCTCACGCTTGTAATCCCAGCACTCTGGGAGGCCAAGGTGAGTGGATCACCTGAGCTCAGGAGTTAGAGACCAGCCTGGCTAACATGGTGAAACCCCGTCTCTACTAAAAATACAAACAATTAGCCAGCGTGGTTGTGGACACCTGTAATCCCAGCTACTCGGGAGGCTGAGGCAGGAGAATCGCTTGAACCTGGGAGGCAGAGGTTGCAGTGAGCCGAGGTCGTGCCATTGCAGTCCAGCCTGGGCAACAAGAGTGAAACTCCATCTAAACAAAAAATAATTATATAATAGATATTTCATTATTTGGGTATTTTCCAATAAATATATATTGTAGGAAAACATTCTTGTTAAAAAAAAAAGTGTGTCCTTTTTAAAAAAGATGAATAAATTTTTGTCTAATTCAAAGCTTATTTAAAGGCTATGTATAGAACAAGGTAAAAGGAACCAGGAAATAAAAGAGATACAAAGAAAGTTATAAAAATAAAAAGGTGTTTTGTTTTTATTTTTGTTTTCGTTTTTTTTTTTTTTTGTAAGAAAGCTTAAAGATAAATGATTTCATATGAGAAAGAATCTTGTATGGTAAATTTAGTCCTAAAATAAAATGACTGGTTGTTTAAGGAGGGATGTTCAGGACAACCCAGAAAGTACAAGCATGTCATGAATAGTCAGTGTAAGTCACAATAAGAGGATTTATATTAAAAAAAAACACAAAAACTTTTATATGTTCAAGTTGTCATATTAAGTATTGATTTGCTTGGAAAAAAAAACCTAAGAAAAAAATTTTTTTAAAAAAATTAAGGTTATTACATCCATGTATCTTCCTGTATGTGTTTTTAAAGTCCTTGTGACATTGGGTTACAGGGCTTTGATTCCTGGGCCTAAAAAGGGCATTAAGTCCTGCTAAATCTTAAACACTGACAGCAATTAAAGCCTCATCTTCATGCCCTGTAGAAGATGCCAATCAAAATAAACTGCATTCCTAACACACAGGGTAAGAAATTAAGGCTATTCAACTCAAGGCCCAAGGACTATCACAGAAGAGGTGGGCACGTAAGATTCTAAGGGCCAATTTTGAAAGATAAAATAATTTCCGTTTCTCTATAAATTAATCATTAACATCAAAGGCACACTGATGCAAGACTAGTGTATGGGCCACTGTGTCAGATTAACAAGGTTTTCTTAAAGCATTAACTGACTCCTTAATAATGGTTAAAAGGTTATAAAAGGCTTATGGAAGCTATATCTTATGGTCAAAGTTAAAATTTTATAGATTGTTTACAAAACTTGGAAACACAAATTTAATTGGCTTCATTCAATTTTTTTTTTTTTTTTTTTGAGACGGAGTCTCGCTCTGTCGCCCAGGCTGAAGTGCAGTGGCGCGATCTCGGCTCACTGCAAGCTCCGCCTCCCGGGTTCACGCCATTCTCCTGCCTCAGCCTCCCGAGTAGCTGGGACTACAGGCGCCCGCTACCACGCCCGGCTAATTTTTTGTATTTTTAGTAGAGACGGGGTTTCACCGTGTTAGCCAGGATGGTCTCGATCTCCTGACCTCGTGATCCGCCCGCCTCGGCCTCCCAAAGTGCTGGGATTACAGGCGTGAGCCACCGCGCCCGGCCTCATTCAATTTTTTATTAGGGCTTATTGTTTGGAAAATTAAATCTCCTCTCTTGAAGAATGAACATTTTCAGCTTTAAAAAAAAAATCCTTGGGTTATCACTTTGGTTAATTGAATGACTTATGTTACAATAACTTGTAATCCTATTTTTTTTCTTTTATTATTATTATACTTGTTATCCTATTTTGTAATAGCAAGTGTTTAAAACCTTTGATATTTGATGCAGTTTCCAAAATCAAATTGTAAATTATGTTTTTTTCTGACCTAATTAATCCTTTAAGATATTAGTTCCCTAAAGTCTAAATATGACATAATTTGGCTTATTTGGTACAAAAATTATACAGGAAACATTGTCAAATATGAAAGGGTGTTTGGTTTTCTTTGGGCTGTATTTGTATAAATATGTTATTGATATGTGTTCCAAAATTATGGGAAAATCCCATAATTCTGATATAACTTAGTGTACATTATCAGTAATAATTATAATTATTATGTTGAATTATTATATGCCATGAGGTAACAAATTTCCTTGTCAATTCTGTTTTTGACAATGGCTGCCCAAAACCCTTCTGTCATTCATGGACAATTGTTGTCTTGTTTTGGTCCTCTTTAGAAGGTGTTTCTGTAATCAGCCACAGAACTCTAACAGGAGTTCTTAAATGCAGGTTTCTGATAACTTTGGAGATTGTGACATTAGAATAGAGGGAAAAAAACCTTTTAAGACTGTCATGGATGGAGATCTAAAATGTTAACGAATAGCAAGCAGAACACGAGTTAATTGCATAAACTGAACTGATAAAAAACTAATCTTTTTAACTTTTGCTTTAAATGTTGCTAATCCTTTGTTTTGTTTTTTAGAGACTTGGAACTTTTCTTTTGAGCTATTAACAGCTTTTAACAATTTAGTGTATTCCTGTGAACAAAATTTGGAGCATATATATTTCTCTCTACCTGATTTCTCCAGAATTTGGAAACTATTTGTGAGTATTCTTAACTTATGGCAATGCAGTTATTTGTATAAGTACAATAAGAATCTGTTTTCGGCCAGGCGCGGTGGCTCACACCTGTAATCCCAGCACTTTGGGAGGCCGAGATGGGCTATCACGAGGTCAGGAGATCGAGACCATCCTGGCTAACACGGTGAAACCCCGTCTCTATTAAAAGTACAAAAAAAATTAGCCGGGCATGGTGGCAGGCGCCTGTTGTCCCAGCTATTTGGGAGGCTGAGGCAGGAGAATGGCATGAACCTGGGAGGTGGAGCTTGCAATGAGCCAAGATCATGCCACGCAATCCAGCCTGGGTGATAGAGTGAGACTCCGTCTGAAAAAAAAAAAGAATCTGTTTTCATTTGTAACAGGATGCAATGGGAGGAACTGGTTATTTTACCAAGGCTTTGACTGGAATGGTATGCTTTCCTTTAAGGAATTAAACTTGACTTATGGAGCAAATAAAGCCCCATGGTGAAACTGGCCCTACACCTTCCCTATACAGGGTTCCTAACCTGCGGTAAGTAAACTTTGTCACTTTCTAACAGGCCAGGGAGCCCCAAGTTTATCTTGGAACCTCAAGAGGAGAGGATCACTGAACTCATAGGTATTTGATGGCACAAATCCATGGCTGGGCTCAGCTTCAAAAAAAGTCTTATCTGAGTTTCCTTCTACAAAACAAAGCTCCATCAAAGCCAATTAAAAAAAAACAAGCCTACGTGAAAAATAATTATTCTTGCTGCATTTTATACAAATAATCTGGCCAAGTATAATAAAGCAAATCAGTCCTATCATAATTTGTCCTTAGTAAAATTAGAAAATGAGAGAGAGAAAAATTATGTTTCAAAAACTATAATACATCTGTTGTTAGAGTCTAGTCTTGCCTGATGTTTTTCAATTTTTATAATTTTCTACAGTATGGGCTGAATTCTAATTTTTTCTTCAAAATTTCTACAAATCTTCAAAATAATGTTTTCAATTTTTCTTGTTTTTTCCTTCTTTTTTCCCCATTTTTTTTTTCTAATTTGGAGTCACTGAAAACTAAGCTGTGCTTTCTTAAAGCCCTGCAAACTGAAACTAGACAACTTAAACCTCAGAAGAAAATAACAACTGACTTACATACATAAGCCTGTTTCATATCTGCCTACTGATGTATAGACTTTAGAGTAATATGACCTATATTGATTTTGCACGATTGCTCTTTTTCTCCCTTTCTCTCCCTATTTTCTTTTCACAGGACATGAGGCTTCAAAACCTGCCAAAAATGAGCTTCTGGGATCTACCTGTCTAGAAATAAACTATCCTATCCAGAAGAAACCTAAGAGCAGATACTCATTTTCTTCTAAAATGCTTTCTCCAAAAGATTTTTGAAAAGTGGGGAAATGTGAAAGGAAAATATCTTGGGTGCCCAAAATCACTAAGCTAAAGGAAAAATTCTAGTTGGGAACTGCTCAGGGCAAATCCGCCTCCCGTTCTGTTCAAAGTCATCCCTCTGCTCACTGAAATAGATATGTATTCTGATCACCTCCTTTGGAAAGGCTCATCAGAAACTCAAAAGAATGCAACCGTTTTTCTCTCATCTGCCTGTGATCTGGAAGCCCTCTCCCTGCTTTGAGTTTTCCTCACCTTTCTGGACAGAACCAATGGACTTCTTACACATATTGATTGATATCTCATGTCTCCCTACAATATATAAAACCAAGCTGTGCCCTGACCACCTTGGGCACATGTCATCAGGACTTCCTCAGGCTCTGTCAGGGGCACATTATTATGTAGGTAGTTACATAACAAGAGAGGAAACAAATTTCAAAGTTATATAACAAGAGAGGAAACAAATTTATATAACAAGAGAGGAAACAATTTAAAAATTGATAACATTCCAAGCTGGGTGTGGTAGCTCATGCCTCTAAGGCCAAGGCAGGCAGATCACTTGAGGCCAGGACTTCAAGACTGGCCTGGTCAACATGGTGAAACCTGTCTCTACTAAAAATACAAAAATTAGCTGGCTGTGGTGTTGTACACCTGTGGTCCCAGCTACTGGGGAGGCCGAGGCAGGAGAATCACTTGAACCCAGGAGGCGGAGGTTGCAGTGAGCTGAGAACATGCCACTGCACTCTAGCCAGGGCAACAGAGTGAGTGAGACTCCGTTTCAAAAAAAAAAATTATATTCTGGATAGGGGAGTCAGGCAATAAATAAAAATGGATAAATGAGTAGATAACTCAGGGAGTGCCTTAATGAAAACAAGATAATGTGATAGAGAGTAATGGGGACCCAATTAGTTGGAATGGCCAGGGAGGGCATTACTGAGGAGGTACCTGTGAGTTTAACCTGAATGATAGGAGCCAGATGGCCAAAGATCTTGAGGCAAATTGTTGAAGCACTGGGAATAATAAGTGCAGAGATCTTAAAAGCAGGAACGGGGCCTGGTGCGGTGGCTCACGCCTGTAATCCCAGCACTTTGGGAGGCCAAGGTGGGTGGATAACAAGGTCAGGTGTTAGAGACCAGCCTGGCCAACGTGGGGAAACCCCGTCTCTACTAAAAATACAAAAATTAGCTGGGTGTGGTGGTGGGCACCTGTAATCCTAGCTACTCGGGAGACTGAGGCAGGAGAATTGCTTGAACCCAGGAGGTAGAGGTTGCAGTTTGCCGAGATTGCACCACTGCATTCCAGCCTGGGTGACAGAGCAAGACTCATTTTGGGGGAAAAAGAAAAGCAGGAATGGATTCATACTTTCGAGGAAAATAAATCATGTCAGTGTGGCTAGACCAAGATAAGAAGTGTGCTATAGGAAGACGACTGACAGCACCCAGGCAAACACGTCATGTTTGCCTCCTGCCTCTACCATGAGTTTGTGCTCAGTTTCCAAGGATAATCCATATCGTTTGCAAAGGGTTTTATCATTCATGCTTTCATATTGGCTATCTTTTTTTTTTTTTTTTTTAGAAACAGTGTCTCACTCTGTCACCCAGGCTGGAATGCAGAAGCACAATCATGGCTCACTGCAGCCTCGACCTCCTGGGCTGTAGCTGTCCTCCCACTTCAGCCTCCCAAGTAGCTGGTACTGAAGGCATGTACTACCACACCTAGCTAATTTACATTTTATTTTTGTATATGTGTATATATTTTTTGACAGCATCTCACTATGTTGCTGGTGCTGGTCTTAAACTCCTGGGTTCAAGCAACCCTCCTGCCTCAGCCTCCCAAAGTATTATGATTACAGGCAATAACATAATTTCTAATAGCTAAAGGCCACATCCTCAGGATAACCCTATCCCCTCTTAAAGTGCCTGCCTACAAAAACTCAAGGCCAGGAGTTGGAGACCAGCCTGGACAATATAGTGAGACCCTGTCTCTATTTATTTAAAAAAAATGTGGCTGGGTGTGGTGGCTCACATCTGTAATCCTAGCACTTTGGGAGGCCTAGGCAGGTGGATCACTTTAGGAGCTTCAGGAGTTTCAGACCAGCCTGGCCAACATGGTTAAACCCTGACTCTACTGAAAATACAAAAATTAGCCGGGTGTAATGGCACAGGCCTGTAACCCCAGCTACTCAGGGTACTGAGGCAGTAGAATCACTTGAACCCAGGAGGCAGAGGATGCAGTGAGCTGATATTTCTAGCTTCTTAACTTTACCAAAGGTAACCTCCTAGGTACTTACAGAAGGCAAAATTTGACAGTCCATGGAAGAGAAGAGAATAGACAAGGTCACACAGATATTAAACCAGAAACTACTTACTTCCTAGGTGGGGAATCGAACCCGGATCGCCACATGTGAAAGTGCAAAATCTTGACCACTGAGCTACATAAAGCGGCAGTGACCACTTTCTTTCCTAGAAGAAACCTACAGTAGTTAATTTTGAACTTGCAAAGGCTTTTAACTATTTAATATGATTTTTAGGGCTATGACATGAACCCTAAAATTCCTGTTCCCTGAAGGTGGAAACCAAAAGAAAGTATCGCCACGTGGTTAAAAGTTCAAGCTCCCAAGGACATAAAACGGTAAAGACTTCATCCAGTTTTTTTGTTTGTTTCAAAACTGCAGCTAAGAGTGTTACTGACCAGCTTGCTGGCTCATCTTGAAAAGTGGGCTTGCTTACAGGTATTTTAAGCCTGTGTTTTATCCTAAAGTACCCCTTGACACAGAAAAACAAATTTATAGCACAAAATACACCAGCTTAAGACTAGCCTTAGAATTCTTTTTTCCATTAATCAAAACTTTACAGAGGAGATAAACACTGATTCTTTTTTTTTTTTTTTTCTGAGATGGAGTCTTGCTTAGTTGCCCAGGCTGGAGTGCAATGGCACGATCTTGGCTCACTGCAACCTCTGCCTCCCAGGTTCAAGTGATTCTCCTGCCTCAGGCTCCTGAGTAGCTGGGATTACAGGCACGTGCCACGGTGCCCAGCTAATTGTTTGTATTTTCAGTAGAGACGGGGTTTCATTGTGTTAGGGAGGAAGGTCTCGATCTCCTGACCTTGTGATCCATCCACCTCGGCCTCCCAAATTGCTGGGATTACAGGTGTGAGCCACCGCACCCACCCCCCATTTTTTTTTTAACCATTCATTCAACAGTCTGCACAGAGAGAAAAGCCAGAAATCTGACTGTTAAGAAATTCTTACCCTTTTGCCGGCACGCCAGGCTTCTGGATTCCCTTTCCCTGAGCGGCCTTAGTGATTTAGCTTGCGACACCATTGCCCTGGGGCCAAGCTGCATCACAAAGGAAATTTTCTTTTTTTTTCCAATCTGGCTAGAGCAAAACACGAGTGATAAAACATAGACATTGGCCACTCTGCTTAGCACCCAATATCAAACTGGCAAGGCTTAAGGTTCCCCCTAGATGGGCCCCATCATCTTTAATCCAATTCCCGACTTGGAGTTTCAACACGTGGTCTCTGGGCAAGATGGTTGCCCTGAGTAACAGAAAAGATAAGAAAGGGAAAGGAGAGAGAGAAAGGCTTTGTCGGTGGCAGGGTGTGGGTAAGGTGAAATGCTCAGGGAGGCCAGAGAAAGACCCACCCACTGCAGCAACACTGAAAAGTTCAGGTGGCTGTGGCTGCTGTTGTGAAGGAGAGGAAAAAGCTCCACATGTCCCACAATCCTGTACATGCCTAACTCTGTCACCTACAGCCATCAGCAAAAAGTGCAAGGCAGATTAATCCAAAGAGAATAGCAGTTAACATCCCATAGTGCTGAGAGGGACTTTACCGAGAGGGGCCTCTAACCCCTTAAATCTTAGAAGGGACTCTAACTCTCCTAAGTCGGGCTTCTAACCCGAGGTTGGTCAAGCATCCTTGCCTTTTATTAAGAGGATCCTCTAACTCACTCTGTCCTAGAAGAGACCCTAATTCCTCTAAGTTGAGCCTCTAACTCAAACCTATTCTTTACCCTGGTACCCCACCACTTACCCAAAGTCGTCCAATCAGTGTTGCAGTCTATTTCCTTTGGATCAGGGGTCTCCTCAATATTGTCCCTTTTGTGGTTCACGAGAAAGCTGTCACAGGACGCCAACACTTACCCAAAGGTAGCCGTTGGGTCAGGGTTTCTGCACTATAGTCCCCTCTGTGGTCACCAGAAATATGTTACAGGAAAGGGGTTCTGATCCAGACCCCAAGAGAGCAAGAAAGGGTTCTTGGATCTCTCGCAAGAAAGAGTTCAGGGCAAGTATGCAGTGCAAAGTGAAAGCAAGTTTATTAAGAAAGTAAAGGAATTAAAGAATGGCTACTCCATAGACAGAGCAGCATTTTTTTTTTTTTTTTTTGAGACAGGGTCTTGCTCTGTCACCCAGGCTGGAGTGCAGTGGCATGATCACAGTTCACTGTATTCTCAACTTCCTGGGCTCAAGCATCCTCCTGCCTCACCATCCTTGGTAGCAGGTGATGGCAATGGCTGGTGCCATCATGCTGGCTGCAGCAGGGAAGTGCAGCGGCTGGGGCTGCACACTGTGGAGCCACAGTGGGAGCCCTGCCTCTTCTTTTTTTTTTTTTTTTTTTTTTTTTGAGACAGAGTTTCCCTTTGTCGCCAAGGCTGGAGTGCAGTGGCCCGATCTGAGCTCACTGCAACCTCCGCCTCCCGGGCTCAAGCGATTTTCCCGCCTCATCCTCCTGAGTAGCTGGGACTACAGGTGCATGCCACCACGCCTAGCTAATTTTTTGTATTTTTAGTAGAGACGGGGTTTCACTGTGTTAGCCAGGATGGTCTCGATCTCCTGACCTCGTGATCCATCTGCCTCGGCCTCCCAAAGTGCTGGGATTACAGGCGTGAGCCACTGCGCCCAGCCACCCTGCCCCTTCTGAGTTGGGATGGGATCTCCCTGATCTGCTGTAGCTGCCCAAACCACAGCTGCAGAGCCAGGCCTCCTGTTCTATGGAGCAGGCAGGAGCCATGCCCTTCTGGGCGGGGCTACAGCCACCCAAACTGCAGCTGTGGATCCGAGCCTCCCTGTGCTCTTGCGGGAGGCGGGAACAGGCAGGATCTGCCCTACCTGGTGCAGCTGTAGCCATTGCACCCGGGGCTGCAGACCTGGGCCTCCTGTTCCAGGAAGCAGGCATGAGCTGGCGACTAGTGGGAGCCCCGCCCCTTCCAGGTTGGCAGGGCAGGAGCTCCTGGTGTGGGTGTTGCTGCCCTCCCAGGCAGAGGACCTGGGTGTCTCTGTAGTCTGCATCCTCGGGGGCCCCAGGAAGGACCCCCATCCTTGTGGGTTCAGGGGTTTCTGCTCCCATTTCCTGGCCTCTCTCCCCTCCTGGCTCCTGCTCCCATCTTGGAGTGGGGGTTGGGGTCGAGCCCTGGGGCCATGAATGGCAGTGGGAAGCAGATTGATTCCTGAGTGGAAGGGGATGGGTCCCCAGTAAGGCCCTACCTTCAGACCAGGGAGGACCCGAAAACGGGGCCGTGCCGCCAGTCCCACAGACCAGAGTGGAGGCACGTGGTGCCATTTCTGGGCCACCCGTGGCTGCTCATGGTCACCTGTGGACCAATTGGCAGGCATTTCCTCCTCTCTGAGATCCATAAAAGCCCTGGGCTCAGACAGAGCAGGGCAGAGGACTGCCAGAGGACAAAGAGGGCAGAGAGACAATAGGATGGGAGGACCTGCTGCAGTGAGGAGCTACTGTCTCTGCTGAGAACTTCAGAGACTGAGAGACATCCAAATGACTTGCCTGCAAAGAGGAGCCACCTGTTCCAGGGCCTCACCTCTGCTGAGAGCTGAACACTCGTCAGGACGACCTGCCTATAGAGAGGAGCTACTCACTCCTCTGAGCTGTTCCAACACTAAATAAAACTCTTCTTCTTCACCCTTCACTTATCTGTGTACCTCATTCTTTCTGTATGCAGGACAAGAACTCAGGCAAAGACACCACAGCCAAAGAGGTTTCCAGCCAGAAGAATTGACACCCTAGAGATTCTGTAAAATTTTGGGGGCTGTCTGGGGTCTGCAGAAGGGTGAAAAAAAGCAAATCTTTCTGTTCTTTTTTTCGGAGTCTCTAAACTCCACAATAGTCAAAATGAAAGAAAAATACCGGGCCTCTGCTAGCCAGTTAAAAGTGACTAGTGTGGCTGGTGGAGGACAGGCTTGCTGGGGAGGACAGTGTCAATCCCCATTCACCCTCGGTTGTGGGAATGTTGGCTTTCATTCCAACATAGTTTCCCTTCACAGAGGTCTAGCTGTTGCGTGGGACCAGAAGGAGGCCGTGGGGTAACTGAGGGTATCTGGCTGAGGCTACACCTCGGTGTTATCCAAATGCCCCTGGACTGACTCCAGTCCCTGACCACCCATTAGGGTGTTGGCAGTAGGACCTCCAGTCTTTCCTATCATTCTTTCTTTCTTTGGGGTTTCCTCTCTTATACACAATGTTAAATGTTAAAAATGTTGCAAACCAGAAATATTACTGGGCAGAATGAGCATTTTGCTTAGTCATCAAAAGTATAAAGTGGAAGGTTTAGAGTAGCACAGATGAAGCAAAGTGTGCCTTCGTATCTGTAAGTAAATTTGTGGTGAAAATGTTCTTGTAATTTACTTGGTTGCCAACTTAGCACCTTGAGGCACAGAAAAGAACCATTGCCTTAGGAAGGAAGCTTTTCTGTAAACATGAGGGCAAATGGTCCAAGGTCCCTTATGTGCAGGCCTTCTTTCCTTTGCAGACCATTACCAACATTGTAGCATTGATTCAGCCCTCCTAGTGGCCATCTTAGGAGAGACTTCAAGGGGTAATCCCAGAGAACTGGGGAAGAAAACCCCAAAGTTACCACCAGCAGGGGAATCAATCCCCTCCACTCCTTCTCTCAAGCTTATCCCAGCCTAGGAATCTTGGTTTTAGGCAGGTCCCAGTCTCAACTGCCCCTACAACAGATGCCTGGTGAATATGGCCCCATTAAGATCCAAGTCCCCCTTTCTCTTCAGGGCTTATTGCAAATTAAGGGGGATCTTGGCAGGTTTTCAGATGGCCCTTAAGGTTATATATAGGCCTTCCAGAGCTTAACCCAAGTATTTGAGCTCTCCTGGAAGGATCACCATGTTACTTTTCAATCAAACCCTGACCAATGCTGCAAAGCAGGCCATTCTTGGCAAGTGGCAAAAAATTTTGGGAATGAGCTTTACATCTTGCATAGGGCCAGGGAAGGGGAGGAGCCTTATCTAGTTGGAAGAATAGCACTAACATTGGAGGACCCTAAATGGGACCCCAATGATGAAATGGGAGAATGGAGGAAGAAACTCTTTCAGGCGTGCATACTTGTGGGCTTGCCTGGGAATGGGCCTAGGCCTTTCAATTGCAGTGGACTATCCATGGTAGATCAAGAATTGGGTGGGAGTCCCACTGCCTCCCTAGAAAGGCTAAGAGGGGTCTTGGTAAAACACACCTATCTCTTGATTCAATAGGGTGACAGCTGGTCCTAGGGGATGAGTTTATTACTTAGTCAGCCCCTGATATCAGGAGGAAACTGCAGAAAAGTCCATAAGACCGGGTAATACTTTAGAGGACCTCCTGAAAGTGGCCACCTTGGTCTTTTACAACAGAGATCAGGAAGCCCGAGAGCAAGGAGACACAAGAAAAAGGCAAAGGCTCTAATAGCCACCTTGCACAAACCTCAGAATTCCTAAGCTGTACCTGTTGGCTGCTGTAAATGCAAACCATTGGAGGGCTAGCTGTCCCTGAGACATGGGCTGCCAGGTCCAGGGCCGGTCTCCCAAATGGTACAGTAGGGCTGATGGGTCCCAGGGTTCCTTTCCCTGACTTTGGTGATTCAGACTGCTATTGCCATCCTGGAGCCTCGGGTGATTTAGGGGATCGAGAGAAGGAGGATGGGCTTCCTCCTGGACTTGAGTGGGCCATTCAGGTCTCTTCTCCAATCTAGGCCCCTTCTCCAATATAGACCCCCTCCTCTGTTAGCATGACTGTGAGGGTCATCTCAGGAAAAGCCCAGCCTCTTAATTGTCGCCTTCTTAGGCTAGGTCCCCAATTCCTGGGACTCCCTTTATCTCCCTTGTTTCAGGAGGACCTGGCCCCACAGCTTCACCTGCTGTTGATAGGCAGGCAACAGAGGAGCAGCTCCTGGCAGTTGCTAGCTGCAATTTGGTGAGGACCATCTGGGACTAATTTAAAGGATTCATCCACCCTCCTTTTTTGGCACCTTTTTGTCCCAAGCTTCAGTTTGAAACCCTGGAATGGAATACTAGACCTGAGGTAGATGACAGTGGGAGTTGAGGGGCACAGTGCAGGTGAGTATGACTAATTCCCGCTAATTAGGTCCTCCCGTTTCATGGATGGAGGTCATGCTCGCATCCATGGCATAGATAAGGTCCAGGGAACTCAAAGGTTACTGACAGTGGAAGGCTTAGGCTCTGCTCAGGTGAGTGTGAATATTCCTGTTGGCTATGCCTCCCACTTCATGGATGAAGGTCACACTTGCACCCATGGTTGGGACTTGAACAGGTTGCCAGGACTCAGGTATATAAGCTTGAAAAAAGAAAGAGGAATGCCTTTTCTGCTCTGTGTCACGTACCCCGGGTATTCACTGGGAAGAGAGAGGAACAAAGGATGCCTTTTTCCCCTCTTTCCAGATGGGTAACCAACCAATCATTTTCAGCCTGCACTCCGTGGGCACATCCTAAATCACTGAACAGGACTTTAGAGTCAGTAGGGCTCCATGGCTTGGGGGAAGGGAACCCAGAAGTCTGAATGCCAGCAAAAGGGTAAAAATTCTTACCAGTTGGACTTCTGGCTTCTCTGTGGGCAAACTGGTTGCAGGAATGATAAAAATCACTATATTCTCTACCCCTCCATGAGTTCAAAAGCCAGAAGTGTTGGCCTTTGTGGCATGGCTGAAGTTGGGTAATAAGAGACTTAGGACTTCTTAAGAAAGGAGTGTTAGTTAAGTCAGCTTAATTAAAAGTCAGCTTAATTAAAAGTAGATGTCCATGGATATCCAAGCTATAGGTATATGTAAAAGGCCTTTATGTCTTTTCCCTTCGTGGATCTTGTTTTTGGGAAAAGGTTTTTTCTTCTCAGTCAACTGAATTCTCCATTTGTGTCTTGCCACTCTTTATGTGCAACATGAGGGGCCCCAACTTAACCTCAGATGGCCTAGGACTCCTTGGGAAAATGGAGGAGGTGCCACTGACCTGTTTTTGGGAAAAACCTCTGTTTTCCTGATAGAGCCTCAGAGATTAGAGGTGGATGGATCCCTCTCAATTTTTTTTTTTAATCTTCCAGCTATGCCTACTTATTAGACCACAGAAACTATGTTTTCCTGGCCCTGGTTCTTGAAGGGCTCCACCCCAGGGCCAGCAATGCAATTAAGAGATTGGCACATGAGGCCGGCCGCGGTGGCTTACGCCTGTAATCCCAGCACTTTTGGAGGCCGTGGTGGGTGGATCATGAGGTCAGGAGATCAAGACCATCCTGGCTAACATGGTGAAACCCCGTCTCTACTAAAAATACAAAAAAATTAGCCGGGCATGGTGGTGGGTGCCTGTAGTCCCAGCTACTAGGGAGGCTGATGCAGAAGAATGGCGTGAACCTGGGAGGCGGAGCTTGCAGTGAGCTGAGATCATGCCACTGCACTCCGACCTGGGTGACAGAGCGAGACTCCATCTCAAAAAAACAAAACAAAACAAAACAAAACAGATTGGCACATGAAAAATCTTACAACTACTGGATCTCCGTTTGTGTAGATATATATATGTCATGTGTGATGTTTACATAAAAGAGCTCTAACTGATTGGCTTAAAGAAAAATAGCACTGTTGGGCACGATGGTTCATGCCTGTAATCCCAGCACTTTGGGAGGCTGAGGCGGGCAGATCACTTGAGGTCAGGAGTTTGAGACCAGCCTGGCCAATGTGGTGAAACCCTGTCTCTACTAAAAATACAAAAAATTAGCCGGGTATGGTGGCTCGCACCTGTAGTCCCAGCTACACGGGAGGCTGAGGCATGAGAATCACTTGAACCCAGGAGGCAGAGGTTGCAGTGAGCCAAGATCATGCCACTGCACTCCAGCTTGGGTGACAAAGTGAGACTCCATCTCAAAAAAAAAAAAAAAGAAAAGAAAAAGAAAAAAGAAAAATAGTGCTTAGGCTTGGTACAGTGGCTCATGCCTATAATCCCAACACTTTGGGAGGCTGAGGTGAGTGAATCACCTGAGGTCAGGAGTTTGAGACCAGCCTGGCCAACATGGTGAAACCCCGTCTCTACTAAAGATACAAAAAATTAGCTAGGTGTGGTGGCTTGTGCCTGTAGCCCCAGCTACTTGGGAGGCTGAGACACAAGAATCACTTGAATCCAGGAGGCAGAGGTTGCAGTGAGCCGAGACTGTGCCACTGCACTCCACCCTGGGTGACAGAGTGAGACTCTGTTTCAAAAAATAAAAAAATGAAAGAAAAATAGCACTTAGATCAAATATTTTGAAAGAATAGTAAAGCTGTAATGCCTTTTAGTTCATGGCTATCACTCTAGTGGAATGGAAAGCATGGGAAAGTGTGGCCTTGTAAGGCTCATAGTTAGGCCATTGCCTTTGGGGGGAAAACATAAAGTGGCACCGGTGCCCACCTAAGGTCAGAGATATCTGACACTCCAAGATTGGATCCCAAAGGGGGACGCCCCACGGGATCCTCCAGACATCGCCCTCTCCAAAGAGGATGCCCTTGGCAAAGATTCTGAGGTCTAGTACTGAACCCTCCTTAGACTTTTCTCTCACAGTTGCAATACTGCTTGGCCCCCAGTATTGTATGGAATCTGAAGGTTACTGTTGAATGGGAAAGTGGGATGGCATTACATGTATACAGGCTTTTGTGCTGTTGTTCTAAGCAGGGGGCCTGGTTAATGTGTGATGTTCTCCTTTGGTGCTCTTTGGTCCAAGTATTCTTTGGAGTCTGGGGAGGTTTGGCCTTTACATCAAATTACCATGGAAACTGCTTTACCCGAAATTTTGGTTCACAGCCTTCATTGGATTATCTACGAGGGCAAACAAAGTAAAACTTGTGAGCTTGTATTGCTATCTCATGGCTAGGGTTCCATGGATCCAAACTAAGCTATTGGATCTTAGTTTGTGTGTGTAAATACAGGTCTAGGTGTGTTTATTTGTATGTACACTTATAAGCATATAAGTAAAAGAGAGCTCATAAATTAGAGAAGTCCTTCAAAATTGTCAGCATACATTTTTTCTAGATTTTATATTTGTCTACCATTATAATATGTAATGGAGACTACTGAAAATAGATTTTCATGCAAGGCATAAGCAAAGTAACATGTGTCTTTAGTAAAAAAATATAAGAAGGCATGCGAACGTAAATTTTTGCCTAGTTTAAAGGGTTAAAGAATTGTTTAAGTTAGATAAGATAAAGCTAAAAGTTCAAACAAGTTATAGAAGGTTTATAAAAATTAATCTTGTAAAAGGAATCTTGTATGTGAACACATTGACTAAATTCAAAGGGGTATTATTTGGTTTCTCCATAAATTGAACACTGGAATAAAAGCACATGGTTTTCTTGAAGCACTGACATGCTCTTTATTATTTATTTATTTATTTATTTTTAAAAGTATTTATTCAGGACTCAAAAATGTGTAAATTTTGTTTATACTTGAATATAATTTTTATTATTATAAAAATAAACCTGTAGTCAATAACAATTTAATTATACATTTGAAATTATCTAAAACTGTAGAACTGAATTGTTCATTATACAAAAAATAAATTCTAGAGGTGATGGATACATCATTTATCCTAATGTGATTATTAGTATAAATTATATATTGTATGCCTCTCTATCAGAATATGCCATATATAACATAAATATTATGTGCCCTCAAAAAAACATTAACAAAAGTAAATTTAAATGGGAAAAAAATAAAAATTTTACCTACAGAAACAATATTCCTTAACTTATTTGCAGTTTAAAGCCACTGGCAAAAAAGATTACTAGAGACGTTAGTCCATTATTTTACCAAATAGTGTACTGTTACCATCTTTTACCTACACCCTTAAGTAAGGTGGACTAGGTTAAATTAAGTGGAATAATGTGACTTGATTGAATGCACAATATTTAACATGTTAAAAATGTTGAATTAAGAAATTTTCACACATAATATAAAATTTTTAACATGTATTGCATTTTGTTTCATAAAAGTACAATTAGTAAAATAATATCTTATTTTAATTTTAACTAAAACTAAAAATATTTGTCTCAATATAATGCAGAATATTACTCTGAATACCTACCTCATGCATCACTCAATACTGTAAGTGAACCACAAAGAACCTCTTAAGATTTTCATCATGCATCTTACATTTTAATGTCATTACTCTTTCATAGAAGAGGTCATAAATACTCACCTAAAAAAAAAACCTCTCATATCTTTGATGCAGCAACAATTGGTCATACGCTTTCACAGATGAATATAATAGGAATAGAGAAACAGCATGGGCTGGGCCCAGTGGCTAACACCTATAATCCCAGCATTTTGGGAGGCCAAGCTGGGTGGATCACCTGAGGTCACGAGTTTGAGACCCGCCTGGCCAACATGGCAAAACCCCAGCTCTACTAAAAATATAAAACTTAGCTGGGTGTGGTGGTGTGTGCCTGTAATCCCAGCTACTCAGGAGGCTGAGGCAGGAGAATCACTTGAACACTGGAGACGGAGGTTGCAGTGAGCCGAGAAAGCACCACTGCACTCCAGCCTGGGCGACAGAGTGGGGTTCTGTCTTAAAAGAAAAAAAAAATGAAATTAATTAATTTATTTAGCATGAAGTAATTTGAGTTAATTACAACATTATTTACATGAAGTAATTTGAGAGTTAATTACATTACTTTTTTAAAAATCTGTAAGCTTTCCAAAAAAAGTATACTTGTAATGTAATTATAACTCTCCAAAAAATCTTCTACCCTTTTAAAGCTATATACAAATAATTTTTCTACCAACTTTAGTTTTGGATTATTTTCTAAACTCAGAACTCTGATTTAGTGTAAAATCTGAAGTGTCAGTGCCTTATATATTTCTAATGTAAATTCTCTGATATTTACATAGACTTAATTTTGGATTAAATTTTTTTTCCTATTTACTGCATATGCAAAAATATATTTTACTATGAACTCTCTGGAGTTTTCTAACCTGTAGTTTTTGAATAAATGTTTTTTTCTAAATTTATTACATTTACAGGGTTTTTCTTCGATATAAATTCTCTGATGTTGAACAAAGTTTGAGTAATTGCTTCAGGGTTTGCCTCTAGTACAAAGTGAATACAACAAGATCTGTGTTACAAGTAAAGTTACTAAAACTGTCTTTATATTTGTAATGTTTGTCTTCAAAATAAATCCTCTTCAGCACTTTAAAGGCTTACATTTTCTCAAGAGTCTTTTGACAGTAATTGCACTTTTAATGCTATTAAGTATAAACTCTCTGATGTTGAATAAGATGTGCGCAGATATTAATCACTTTTTTACTTTCTTTATATTTGTACATTTGTTCTCAAGTATAAAGGGTTTCCTGTGCAATAAGGTGTGAGCATTGTTTAAGTCTTGCCACACTGTTCACACTTGTAGAAGTTTTCTCCAGTATGAATTACCTTACCTACAAGCAAGTGTGATAACCATTTAAAGGCTTTGTCACATTATTCATATTTCTATGTTTTCTCACCAGCACAATTTCTTTTATGTTTGGAAATGTTTGAGATGTTGTCACAAGCATTGTTACAACTTTCAAGTTTGTAGAGTTTCTCTCCCGTATGAATCATCTTATGTCTGTTAAGAATAGAGGAGTTGTTAAAGGCTTTGCCACATTCTTCGCACTTGTAGGGTTTCTCACCAGTATGAATTATCTTATGTGTAGTAAGGTGTGAGGACTGGTTAAAGGCTTTGCCACATTCTCCACATTTGTAGGGTTTCTCTCCAGTATGAATAACCTTGTGTTTAGAAAGAGTTGAGGACTGGTTAAAAGCTTTGCCACATTCTTCACATTTGTAGGGTTTCTCTCCAGTATGAATTATCTTATGTGTAGTAAGGTGTGAGGATAGGTTAAAAGCTTTGCCACATTCTTCACATTTGTAGGGCTTCTCTCCAGTATGAATTCTCTTATGTGTAGTAAGGTGTGAGAACCGGCTAAAGGCTTTGCTACATACTTCACATTTGTAGAATTTCTCTCCAGAATGAATTCTCTTATGTGTAGTAAGGGTTGAGGATTGTTTAAAAGCTTTGCCACATTCTTCACATTTGTAGGGTTTCTCTCCAGAATGAATTCTCTTACGTGTAGTAAGGTGTGAGAACTGGCTAAAGGCTTTGCCACGTTCTTCACATTTGTAGAATTTCTCTCCAGTATGAATTATCTTATGTGTAGTACTGAGGATTGGTTAAAAGATTTGCCACATTCTTCACATTTGTAGGGTTTCTCTCCAGCATGAATTATCTTATGTGTAGTGAGGGTTGAGGACTGGCTAAAAGCTTTGCCACATTCTTCACATTTGTAGGGTTTCTCTCCAGTATGAATTCTCTTATGTGTAGTAAGGTTTGCAGATTGGTTAAAAGCTTTGCCACAGTCCTCACATTTGTAGGGTTTCTTTCCGGTATGAATTATTTTTTGTGTAGTAAGATGTGAAAGCCAGTTAAAGGCTTTTCCACAATCTTCGCATTTGTAGGGTTTCTTTCCAGTATGAATTCTTTTATGTGTAGAAAGGTTTGAGGCCTCATTATAGGCTTTCCCACATTCTTTACATTTGTAGGGTTTCTCTCCACTATGAATTCTTTTATGTTGAGCTGAGTGTGAAAGCATGAAAAATGACTTTTCGCATTCTTTACATTTGAAAGGTTTCTTTCCAGTATGTCTTATCTTATATCTGTTTGAATTTGAAAATTTATGAAAGACTTTCACATATTTGTCACATTGTAATATTTTGCTCTGGGTAGTTCTCGAACACTGGTTAAATCCATTGCAACATTCTTCATGCACCTTACACTCATCCATGCTTTTACGGTATTTTCCTAACTGTAAATTTTCATGTCCACATTTTTTATATCTTCTCAGTATCACTTTTTGGAAACAATTTTTTATGCCCTGGTTTGGCCAAAGGTCTTGGGCAAAATAAGAACATACAACTGGGGGTTCAGCTACCATCTCATGTCTCTTCACATTCCAAGGTTCTTTTCCTTGCTCCAGACAGGTGATCAGGTCTGGCTTAGAGGCAGCAATACCCAGGAAGACCAGGTTTCTGTAGTTCTCTAACATCACATTCCTATATAAATTCTGCTGTGCAGTGTCCAGACAATGCCACTCCTCCAGAGAGAATTCTATGGCCACATCCCTAAATGTCAACACTCCCATTTCTAGGCTTCCAGGGGGTCCTAGCGTCTCAGCTGTGGATCTCCCAATACCTGCAGGTCACAGGGCCACAGAGGATGGGCCTCTAGGAGCAGAGGACGCAGAACAGTGAAGACTCACTGACATGCTCTTTAACAAAAATTTGTAGGCCAGGCACAGTGGCTCATGGCTGTAATTCCAGCACTTTGGGAGGCCAAGGCAGGTGGATCGGGAGGTCAAGAGATTGAGACCATCCTGGACAACATGGTGAAACCCCTCTCTACTAAAAATACAAAAATTAGCTGGGCATGGTGGCAAGTGCCTGTAGTCCCAGCTACTAGGGAGGCTGAGGTAGGAGAATTGCTTGAACCTGGGAGGTGGAGGTTGCAGTGAGCCGAGATCAGGCCATTGCACTCTAGCCTGGTGATGGAGCGAGACCCCATCTCAAAAAAAAAAAAAAAAAAAAAGTAGAGTATTGCAAGGGTGAAATTTGAAATTTGGCTTTCTCTCTCTTGAAAAAGATTTCTGTTTGCCTCATGAATAAACTATCGAAAAAATAGGGGAAGGACAAGGGACAGATTGTTTGGAAAACTACATCTTCACACTTGATGAGTGAAGATTTTTGCTTTAAAAAAATAATTGAGTCATTTAAATGGATGACTTATGGCAACCCAAACTTCTATTAAGTGTTTTAAGCCTTTATAGCTTCAAAATTGTCTCTCCTAACCCCTGACTTTTGGATGCAACAGAGGGCTCCTGGAGCATCCAGAGGAGAGGTAAACAGGATTATTTGACATGTTTAGTTACATAGGATTGTTGAAATAAGGTGGTGGTTGATCTTCAGGTTATATTTTAGTGAAAAATGTTAATGCATGTTCCATTATTGTATGGGATTTCTAGAGTTCTGATGTCTCAGTTTGTGTTATCAATCATAATTAGGGTTATTGTGTTAGATTATTATAAATCACAGAGATGACCAATTTTTTTTTGTCAATTGTGTTTTTTGACTGTAATTACCCAGGATATTTTGACAGTCATAGACAATTGTTTTGTGTGATCCTCTTTAAAGGGTGGATTATAACCCTTGAGTGCAGGTTTCTGGTAACTTTGGAGATTGTGATCGGGAGTTGACTGGGTGAACTGTACTAATGGAAGACTAATCTTTTTTGACTTTTGCTTTTTGCTTGGAACACTGCTGATTCTTATGTTCTGTTTTTCATAATCAAGGAAGTTTTTCTTTTGAGCTATTTGTAGCTTTTAACAATTGTAGGGTGAACCAACCAGTGACCTCAGACTGCAGCTCAGAAGAAACAAGGGATGGGTCGTCAAACTCCAAATGGTCATAAAAATGGAGACTCGGACATTGGCTCCTTTGTACTGGGGACCCTTAGATAGGCCTCTGAGAGAGAAAACTGTCATTTTCCCAAAACAACTTCCCTTCTCAGCATGAAGCAGTTAACAGTGGCCATCATCCCTATACTAACAGCAGTTAGATATACCTCTTCAGAGGGGGGAATGATGGCAGTGGCTGCTGCCATCATGCTGGCTGCAGCAGGGAAGCACGGCTGGGGCTACACACTCCATGGAGCCGGTGGAAGTCCTGACCTTCTGAGTTGGGATGGGAGCTCCCTGGTCTGCTGCAGCTGCCCAAACCACAGCTGCAGAGCCAGGGCTCCAGCTCTACGAGCACTGCTCAGTCTCAATCTCAACTGACTGCAATATCTGCCTCCTGGGTTCAAGAGATTCTCCTACCTCAGCTTCCCAAGTAGCTGGGATTACAGGCACCTGCTACCAAGCCTGGCTAATTTTTGTATTTTGAGTAGAGATGGAGTTTTGCTATACTGGCCAGGCCAGTCTCAAACTCCTGACCTCAGGTGATCCACCTACCTCAGCCTCCCCAAGTGCTGTGATTGCAGGTGTGAGCCACCGTGCCTTGCCACAGAAGCAAAGATTATTCCATTTTGGGCTAGGTTTATAGTTTTGTAAACCCTATGCCAAATTTTGACACCTTACAGTATTTGGCAGGGATAAGTCTGAAATTCCTTGATTAATAAATGCAAACTGTCAAGTGTGTCAGTGTGAAGAGATCACCAGACAGGCTTTGTGTGAGCAAAAAAACTGTTTAATCACCTGGGTGCAGGTGGGCTGAGTCAGAAAAAGAGACAGCAAAGGGAGTTAGGGGTGGGGCAGTTTTATAGGAGTTGGGTAGGTAGTGGAAAATTACACTCAAAGGGGGTTGTTCTCTTGCGGGCAGGGGTGGGGGTCACAAGGTGCTCAGTGGGGAACTTCTGAGACTCATTGTCCAGGAGAAGGAATTTCACAAGGTAATGTCATCAGTTAAGTCAGGAACTGGCCATTTTCACTTCTTTTGTGGTTCTGCAGTTTCCTCAGTCCATCTGGATGTACAGGTGCAGGCTTGGGCTCAGAGGCCTGACAATCCTGTCTTTTTATATTAATAAGTAAAACAAAACAAAACAGTGGTGAAGTGTTAGGGTGGTGAAAATTTTTGGGAGTGGTATGGAGGGAAAATGGGCGATGTTTCTCAGGGCTGCTTTGAGTGGGATTATGGGCGGTGTAGGAACCTAGAGTAGGAGAAATTAAACTGAAGAAAGATTTTGGGGTAAGGGGTGATATCATGGGGTTGTTAGAATCAGCATTTGTCGTATAGAATGATTGGTGATGGCCTGGATGTGGTTTGGTATGAATTGAGAAATTAAACGGAAGACACAAGGTCCAAATAAGAGAAGGAGAAAAACAGGTATTAAAGGACTAACAATTGGGAGGACCCAGGACATCCAATTAGAGAGTGCCCAAGGGGGTTCAGCGTGATTATTTGCTTGGTTGGTGAGTTTTGGGCTCTATCCTTGAGGGTTTTTTTTTTTTTTTATGTTGTCAGGTACTAGGCCAGATTGATTTAGGTAAAAACAACATTCTTCATTTAGAAATATGAAAAGTCCCCCTTTTTCAGCAGTGAGTAAGTCGAGGCCTCAGTGGTTTTAGAGGAAAGAGAAATGCAAAGCCAGCAATTGTTTGTTAAAGAAGGATTAGAAATGGCTAGGAGAGAGACAGTGAGATTGATAGTGTGGTGGAGATAGCTGGGGAGAGGTAAAGGGTGGCATAAGAATGGGAATGAGAATAAGAGTGAGTATAAAAGTAAAGAATAGAACTTCATCAGGGTGAAAGTATTGGAGGGTGCCCTGCCAGCAAAGATCATCTAACAACTCCAAGAGGGAGTCAAGAGTGGTGGTTTGGGGATAGCACCAGGAGATATCAGCTGTGATGGCTTGGAGAAACAGTGTAAACCAGCAGTGTAAACAAGAGCAGGGCATTTATGAGTAGTTGAGAATGGTGAATAGGAGTATGACTAGATAGAAGATAGTAGGGATGACAAGTTTTTGGGGTACAGTCCAAGTAGTGGGGGTGACTGCCTAAAGCCCTGTTGCAAAAAGTAGGGTAAGGATGAATAGACCTAATAGAATGAAGGGATGTATTAGGCTCATAAGGGTTATTACTGTTCTTCAGAAATGCAAGTGTGTTTAAAGGAAGTAGGGGAGAGTACTTGCAACTTCTAGGAGGAAGAGGAGAGATCAGGCTGGCTGTCCAACGAACACAGGGCATATGAGTAAAGTCAACCTGCCAATCTTGTGTTGGAGTAAATCCACGAGCCTGATGTGTAGGAAAAGGAGGAGGCCTGAGAAAATCTTAGGGGCTGGTGGCATGGCAGGCAGAGCATTGAGAAGTGATGGTTTTAAGGATGGATTTCCATGATGGGAAGGAAATGAGGGGCTGTAGGAGGTGAGCCAGAAGCTTATATCCTACATGGAAATGGTCATGAAGGGAAGAGAGAATAGACTGGGCTTGTGAGGCAGGAAGAATGAACTTTCCACAGAGTAAAATAAAAATTATGAAATCTGGTAGAGCAGGTTTTCAGAAGAAGAATAGTTGGGAGTGATAGAGGAGCTACAGGGCGCGGTGCCGGTCCTTGTGTAAGAATTCCAACCGTGGCCAGGTGTGGTGGCTCACGCATGTAATCCCAGTACTTTGGAAGGCCGAGGCAGGTGGATCACGAAGTCAGGAGATCGAGACCATCCTGGTGAACATGGTGAAACCCTGTCTCCACTAAAAATACAAAAAAAAAAAAAAAAATTAGCTGGGTGTGGTGGCGGGCGCCTGTAGTCCCAGCTACTTGGGAGGCTGAGGCAGGAGAATGGCATAAACCCAGGGGGTGGAGCTTGCAGTGAGCCAAGATTGTGCCATTGCACACCACCCTGTGAGACACTGAGACTCTGTCTCAAAAAAAAAAAAAAAAAAAAAAAGAATTCCAACTACACAGCCCTGCACTTCGGCTGTGTGTAATGAAAAAGTGTTGGGATGAGTTAGGGAGAGCTAGTGTGGGAGTAGCTTCTAGGGCTGTTTTTAAGGAATGGAAAGAGTAGTGGGGAAAGGATTTAGGATCTATGGGGTCAGCTAGGTTTTCTTTTGTGAGTTTATATAATGGTTTAGTCAAGATGGTAAAACTAGGTATCCAAAGGCGAAAGTACCTAACCATGCCTAGGAAGGAAAGGAGTTGTTGCTTTGTAGAAGGGGTTGGAGTTTGGGAGATTAGCTGGACACGATCAGCAGGGAGAACACATGTGTTTTTATGAAGAATTATGTCAAGACAGGTAAGGAATGAGGAAGAAATTTGGGCTTTGGAGGGGAATGTGCGATGTCCTTTCGTGAACAGATGTTGGAAGAGCAAGAGAGTGTCCTGTTTGGAAGATGTGTAGGAGGGGCTATAACGTAGAAGGTTGTCATAATGTTCAATAAGGTGAGAAGCA
This sequence comes from Homo sapiens, assembly GCF_000001405.40. NCBI lineage: Eukaryota > Metazoa > Chordata > Mammalia > Primates > Hominidae > Homo > Homo sapiens. The sequence goes on from NC_000009.12 coordinate 35,153,981, forward strand.
GATGGATGGAAAGAAAGCATATCATGAGAAATGGCTTGACTGAAGTAATGGGGGCTGTCAATGAAGCCTTGCACAGTACAGCCCAGGTAAGTTGCTGAGTCTGATGGGTGTCAGGGTCAGTCCAAGTGAAAGCAAAAGAGGCTTTGAACTGGGGAAAAGGGCAGCAATGAGGTATGGCTGTAGCCTAGGAATAGTCAGGGAAGCAGATAATTTAGTTAAAACGTCTCAACCTAATAAGGGAGCTGGGCAGGTGGGGATAACTAAAGAGTGCATGAAAGAATATTGTCCAAGTTGGCACCAGAGTTGGGGAGTTTTAAGAGGTTTAGAAGCCTGGCCGTCAATACCTGCAACAGTTATGGAGGCAAGGGAAACAGCCCCTTGAAAAGAAGGTAATGTGGAGTGGGTAGCCTCTGTATTGATTAAGAAGTGGACAGAGTTACCCTCCACTGTAAGAGTTACCCAAAGTGTCTGTGATGGTCCAGGAGGCTTATGAGGCAATTGGGCAGTTTCAGTCTTCAGCCGCTAGGCTAAGAAGATCTAGGAAGGAGTCAGTCAGAAAGCCTTGGGCCAGAGTTCCAGGGGCTGTGGGAGTGGCTGCCGGGCAAGTTGGACAGTCCGATTTCCAATGGGGTCTCATACAGATGGGACACGGCTTAGGAGGAATCCCGGGCTGTGGGCATTCCTTGGCCCCGTGGCCAGATTTCCGACACTTGAAGCAAGATCCTGAGGGAAGAGGTCCTATAGTAAGGCCTGGCCTCTGCAGTTTAGGCATTTTGAAGTTCTTGTGTGCTGGAGATGTGGCTGGGGTTTCTCTCACAGTGGAGGCAAGTAATTGCAACTCTTTTCTATCATTGTACACCTTGAAGGCAAGGTTAATTAAGTTCTGTTGTGGGGTTTGAGGGCCGGAATATAATTTTTGGAGCTTTTTCTAATGTCGGGAGTGGATGGGGTAATAAAATGCATATTGAGAATAAGACGGCCTTCTGGACCCTCTGGGTCTAGGGCAATAAAGCGTCTAAGGGATTTTGCCAAACGGGCCATGAACTGGGCTGGGTTTTTATATCTGATGAAAAACAGCCTAAATGCTAACTGATTTGGGAGAGGTCAGCTAAGAAAAAGGAGCATTAACCTTGACTATGACTTCAGCTCCAGCCACCCCTCTAAGAGGAAATTGTTGGGCAGGTCGGGGAGGGCTAGTCGCGGAACAAAACTGTGAGCTGGACTGGGCGTCAGAAGGGGAGGTGATAGAAGGATTATAGGGTCAGGGAACAGAGGCTGAAGAAGAATTGGGACCTGGCTCAGCCTGGCGAGGAGCCACCTGGGAGGAGGGGAGAGGAGGGGAGAGGTCAGATGGGTCCGTAGAAGAGGATTTAAAGGACTTAGCTTGGGGTGGAGACTGAAGGAACAGACAGGAGAGAAAGAAAGATTTGGGATGAGTCGCACTGGGAGCAGAGACTAGGGAGGGACCGATGTGTAAAAGAATGCCTGGATGTCAGGCACCTCAGACCATTTGCCTAATTTTACAACAAAAACTATCTAGATCTTGTAGGATGGAGAAATCGAAAGTGCTGTTTTCTGGCCATTTAGAACCATTGTTGAGTTTGTATTGGGGCAAAGTGGTATTGCAGAAGAAAATAAGGCATTTAGGTTTTTAGGTCAGGTGCGAATTGAAGAGGTTTTAAGTTCTTGAGAACACAGGCTAAGGGAGAAGGGGGAATGGAGGGCGGAATGTTGCCCATAGAAAGGTAGAGACACGGAGAAGTAGGGGGGTGGTGAGCAGCCCTGGACTACAATGTGGATGAGCAGCCAAAGCAGGCATCCCTGCAATTGACTTGCCACTAAGGGAATGTAGGTGAATGACCAAGGCAGGCGTCCCCACGGTGATCAGACACCAATGGAATGTGGGTGAATGATCAGGGCAGGCATCCCCACAATGATCAAACACCAAGGGAAGTCTGTTTTCTCAAGTCCGTGACCAGCGCTGGTGTTTTGGGTCCACAGATAAAATGTGTCTCCTTTGTCTCTACTAGAGAGGAAAATGAACTGGAATTGGAAGGACAGGGAGATTGAAGGGTAGCAAGAGAGGCTAGAGAAGAGAGTGAAAAGACCGCTTACCCGATTTGAAGTTGGTAAGGTATTCCTTGAGCTGGTCTGAGGACCCGAGGTCTTAGGTGGATCTCCTCATGGAGTGATGGTGAGGACAGGGGACCTGTCTTCCGAAGGAGTCTCCCTGTCCTGGGTCTTCGGCACCAAATGTCAAGTGCGTCCGTGTGAAGAGACCACCAAACAGGCTTTGTGTGAGCAATAAAGCTTTTTAATCACCTGGGTGCAGGCGGGGTGAGTCGGAAAAGAGAGTTAGCAAAGGGAGTTAGGGTTGGGGCAATTTTATAGGATTTGGGTAGGTAGTGGAAAATTACAGTCAAAGGGGGTTGTCCTCTTGCGGGCAGGGGTGGGGGTCACAAGGTGCTCAGTGGGGGAGCTTTTGAGACTCATTGTCCAGGAGAAGGAATTTCACAAGTTAATGTCATCAGTTAAGGCAGGAACTGGCCATTTTCACTTCTTTCGTGGTTCTTCAGCTTCCTCAGGTCTTCTGGATGTATAGGTGCAGGCTTGGGCTCAGAGGCCTGACACAAACAAAAATGTATGCTGGCAATTCCTAAGACATTTCTAACATTAATGTAACAATAATTTTAAACCTAGCTCAGTGAGGACTAAATTCTGATTTTATATCTTGCTCAAATTCCTGTGTAAGGGGTCTGGGGAGTCATGCGCTACAAATAATAAATTATTAGATGGTTTTTACTTAACCCTATATATTGTGACTTACTTTCCAACCTGACTGTGGCATAACATTATGAGACAAGGAAGCAAAACAAAATATTTTACCTTAAATCATGTTTCTTTGCCATCTATTGAAATGGCCTGCAAAGCTGTCCTTTGTGGGGTAAAATGTGCATATATAAAGAATCTCTATTAACATAGCTAAATCTTTTTCTTTCAGGCCCTCTCAATCCTAAAGAGATTAACTAAAAGTCTAGCACCCTTTGAAGATCTGAATTGGAAATATTTGTCATCTATTTTCTCTAAGGGCAGCCACTATAAGACTTCAAAAGAACCTTGGTCTCCACAGTGTTTTTTCTTAACCTAAATATTTCCTTTCTATGATCCCTGGTCTTTAGACAAACTCAACCAATTTTCAACCAGAAAATGTTTAAATTTACCTATAGTCTGGAAGCCCCCCTTTGAGTTGTTCCGTCTTTCTGGACCAAACCAATGTATTTCTTAAATGTATTTGATTGATGTCTCATGCCTCCCAAAAATTTATAAAACCAAGCTGCACCCCAACTACCTGGGGCTCATGTTCTCAAGACCTCCTGAGGGCTGTGTCATGGGCCATGGTTACTCATATTTGGCTTAGAATAAATCTCTTCAAATATTTTACAGAGTTTGATTTTTTTCATCAACATTAGTAAAGATTTTACTTAAGTTATGTAAACTTGAAAAAGCATTTGACTATTTTATTTTTTCCTGAATAAGTGTTTGATTTAAGCACTTTTATTTTCTTACGCCAATTAATTAGAGCTCTTTTATATATTTTCAGTAGTGAAACATTGTGTACACAACACATAAATACATAGACACATTAGGCATGCTGATAGAGGTACATCTTTTTTTTTTTTTTTTTGAGACAGAGTTTTTCTCTTGTCACCCAGGCTGGAGTGCAATGGCATGATCTCAGCTCACTGCAACTTCTACCCGCTGGGTTCAAGTGATACTTCTGCTTCGGCCTCCCGAGTAGCTGGGACTACAGGCATGTGCCACCACGCCTGGCTATTTTTGTATTTTTAGTAGAGACAGGTTTCACCATGTTGTCCAGGCTGGTCTCGAACTCTTGACCTTAGGTGATCTGCCCACCTCGGCCTCCCAGAGTGTTGGGATTACAGGCGTGAACCACTGCACCTGGCCTAGAGGTACCTCTTATAGATTCATAAAAAACGTTTTTTTTCCTTAGGCTTTCAGATTCTTTTTTTCCCCTCCTCCCTCCCCGCTACTTTCAGATTCTTGATAACCTGTTTCACAACCCTAGGCAGTTGTCAGCTAAATAGCCTTAAATTTGCATATTAAAGAAAACAACTCAGGTGAACTCCAAACAGCAAAATTTACATTATAAAGTGTGGAGAGAAAAAGTCTGGTGTGCTAGACGGAAATTGAAACAGATTTAATGGCCAATTAAACATAAAATTATAGAAATTATAAAAGCCTTTTAAATACACACACACACACATCCTATAGCTTTTACTTCAGAACTTTTAGCTATGAGATAAATTCAAATTTACCGGTTTGCAAAAAGAACTTGTTGGATCTAAACTGTGGTTTTTATCTTAACAGAAAATAATGGCAGATTTAGAGCAGGCAGAAAAGAATAGAGAAAAGAGGTCTTAGGAACTCTATAATTAGTAGGTCGACCTTAGGGCTCTTTTTTCTTAATGTAAATGTGCACAAAGACCATATTTTTTCCATTTTACATAAACTTTGGCAGTAGAGGTGCCATAAAACCTACAGAGTGCTCAAAAGAGGGTCATTCTCCTTGTTTTCTTCTCATTCTTAGATTATTTGTTTTCCACTTCTTTTTTTCTTAAAAGGAGAAACTGAGCTGTGGCTTAGAGTTTCTGTGTGGTGGATCATCACGTGCTGCTTGTGGGCAGGACTCCACAATGTGCCACCACTGAATGGTTTCCACCCTCTTACATGTCTCAGTTTCTCTCTCCAGAGGTTTATGACTTCTGAGAGGGCTCACAACACTGGGTGATCAGCCCTTCAATGTGTTTCCTGGATGAGCCAGTTTTTAAATTAAATATATATATATATATTTTTTTGAGACAAGGTCTTACTCTGTTGCCCCGGCTGGAGTGCAGTGGCATAATCTTGGTTCACTGCAACCTCCACTTTCTGGGTTCGGGCAATTCTTACGTCTCAGTCTCCTAAGCAACTGGGGTTACAGGCACGCACCACTACACCTGGCTAATTTTTGTATTATTAGTAGAGATGCGGTTTTGCTATGTTTGTCAGGCTTGGTCTTGAACTCATGACCTCAAGTGATCTGCCTGCCTCGGCCTCCTGAAATGCTAGGATTATGTGTGTGTGACCGCACCTGGCCTAAATTAATTTTTGTTGGGGATTTCCCTGCAGGACCACTGCACATCGTTCGGGGTCAACCTTTCAGACACTCCCACAAGGTCCCCAGTCACTCAGGGGCACCTTTCAGTTGGGAGGGGCAAATGCCCTTTCTTTTTGGAGCTGAGAAAACTCAGTCTCTGATATACCTATGAAAGCAACAGTTCAGTTCCTCATGCAAATGCACACAGACAAACGGAATTGAGATTAATGTTGGGAGAAAAAGCAATATAAAGGATCCTTCAGAACGGATCTCCAAACTAGAATTAGGATTTTTTTTTTTTTTTGAGATGGAGTCTCGCTCTGTCGCCCAGGCTGAGTGCAGTGGCACGATCTCGGCACAGTGCAACTTCCACCTCCCTGGTTCAAGCAATTGCCCTACCTCAGCCTTCGAATAGCTGGGATTACAGGTGCACACCACCAGGCCCGGCTAATCTTGAACTTGTGGGGTCAAGTGGTCCGCCCGCCTCAGCCTCCCAAAGTGCTGGGATTACAGGTGTGAACCACCGCACCTGGCCTAGAATTAGGATTCTTAAACAACGACTTCCTAGGAGAGAAAATTAAAAAAAAAAAAAAAAAAAAAAAAGGAAACAGCCAAAACCACTTCCTATAAACTGTGCTCAGCCACCCGTAACTTTGTAGCTCTTTTCCAACAATATACACACCAAGGTCAAATCCTCTCACAGTGCAAGGTCATCTCTGGCACCCAAAGCCAAAAAGGTCAGGTCATGCAATACAGGAAAACAGAGCTTTAGACCTAAGAAGAATCTGCCCATGACTCTTGAAATCCCACAAAGCCAAGAGAACACCCCAAAAGGGGGTGAGTGGCACCTTTGTTCTAAATTCTTTTTTTTTTTTTGAGATAGAGTCTTGCCCTGTCACCCAGGCTGGAGTGCAATGGCACGATCTCAGCTCACTGCAACCTCCGCCTCCCAGGTTCAAGTGATTCTCCTGCCTCTGCCTCCTGAGTAGCTGGGATTACAGGCACGTGCCACCATGCCTGGCTAACTTTTTTTGTATCTTTAGTCGAGACAGGGTTTCATCATGTTGGCGAGGCTGAGTCTCGAACTCCTGACCTCGTGATCCGCCCACCTCGGCCTCCCAAAGTGCTGGGATTACAGGCGTGAACCATGGCGCCCGGCCTAAATTCTTTAAAGAGGTTCAAGTCATTAGAAGCCTTCTCTCGATTTTTTGGTAATGCAGATGGCAAAGGGTGAAGGAGGTATAGGGTGGAAGAAAAGTAAACAAAAGAACAATTGAATTTTTTTTTTTTTTTTTTTTAATTTGAGACAGAGTCTCACACTGTAGCTCAGGCTGGAGTGCAATGGCTCGATCTCCACTCACTGCAACCTGCGCCTCCTGGTTCAAGCAATTCTCCTGCCTCAGCCTCCCGAGTAGCTGGGATTACAGGCACCCGCCACCATGCCCGGCTAATTTTTTTTGTATTTTCAGTAGAGACAGGGTTTCACTATGTTGGCCAGGCTGGCCTTGAACTCCTGACCTCGTGATCCGCCCGCCTCGGCCTCCCAAAGTGCTAGGATTACAGGTGTGAGCCACCGCGCCCGGCCTAAGAACAGTTTAATTTTTAAGACCAGGAAGCAAACACAGAAACCAAATACATGGTTTTTTGTTTTCTGTTTGTTTTTTCTTTTGCAGCTGTGAGGAATTTTACTCAAATTAGATAGGCCTTGTTACCCATAATTTGGAATTCTCACTTGGATTTGACCAAGTGAAGTAGAGTTGGTCAATGGGAAAAAGACAAACAAAATAAAAAAAAACCCAACAATATGATCACTGAGCACTCTAATGGTAAGCAGAAATTAAGACCAGCTGGTTGTTAACTTTAGCCAAGACAAAAATCCCTATTCAGCTACTTACCTAGGGGTGCGTCTCAGGCTGAAAACGGCTGTCTACCATCCCAGAAGTAGGAAAAAAACCCCTCATCTTCCCTGTTGGAAGTGAGCTCAAACTCCATAAAAGAGTTACCTGCCTTCCCTCGTCATGGAAGCAGGAAAACTTGCCTTCCTTGTTGGAAGCAAGTAAAACTCCAAAATAATAATAATAATAATAATAATAATAATAATAATAGAGGGAGTTGTACAACAAAATGAACTTTAGATCTCGACCAAATTTTGGGAGATCAGGGATTCTCTGGAGGGGGTGCTCCTAGACCTTAGCAAATTGTCCTGTTGGTTTGAGCCATGGAGTTAGCTCATGTTGGTACCAAGCATGGATAGGAGATTTGTCAAAGATCAGAGGTATCTCCACTCACAATCCCTCCGTGGTTACCATCCTTCATTCAGTAAATATTTACGGACTGATTACCATACACTAGGCACTATTCCAGACATTGGAGATAC